>NC_000009.12:105493279-105644794 GCF_000001405.40 Homo sapiens | reverse complement strand
AGGATCTGGCTGGATTAGACGGTTGCCCAGTTTGGGCTCCAAAGCAAACTCTTCCACTCTCCAACTATGAGACTGTCATCTTCTAAGTCATCTGAAAGACATTTGGTAGTATAGCATTTTCAGAACATTGGCCACTCAATTAACTTTCCTGCAAAATTCACTAGAAAACATCCTCCAAATTATTGAGATTAACGGAAGAAAAAATTTGAATTTAGAAGTTTTAGGTTGTAAAAGCCCTACTGATAAAGTTGCAGAGAACTATGAACAATAGTACTAGCTGCTAAAGGGCTTTACTGATAAATCTAATTAAAGAAAACTCGAAGAACACAAAGGAATAATAAAGAGAAAATAAATCATAAAAAGAGGGTTATTAAAATGACAAAGTAAATCAACAAAGAATTGGAGGAAAGGCAAAAACAAAAACCTAAAAACCTGTCTTCCAAAAATTCAGACAAGGTTATTCCTTTTTATTATGAAGAGTGTTACCTATTACGAATGTTTGTAAAATGTTTAAGGACACTCTTTAGTAAAATCACAGTAAAAACAACGGTGCACAGTACACATTAAAAAAGAAAATCATAAAAGAAACAACTAGCAGATTTGGTGTTATCATTATTTTTAATTTTAGCCATTCTAATAGGTATGCAATGATATCTCATGTGGTTGTAATTTGCATTTCCCTGGCTAATGATGTTGAACATCTTTTTCATGTGCTTCTTAGCCATCTGTATATCCTCTTCAATGAAATGTCTGTCTATGTCTTTGCCCATTTTCTAATTGAATTTTTCAAAAAACTGCTGAGTGTTCAGGTTCTTTATATATTCCAGGTACTAGTCCTTTGTCAAGATACACAGTTTGCAAATATTTTCCTCCTAGTCTGTAGCTGGACTTTTCAGCCCCTACATGTGGGCTTTTGCAGAGCAGCAATTTTTAATTTTGATGAAGTCCAATTTATCCATTTTTCTTTTATACATTGTGTTTTTTGTGTCAAGTCAAAGAAAGAATGCTTTGCATAACCCTAGATCATGAAGATTTTCTCCTATTTTTTTCCCAAAAGGGTTTACAGTTTTATATTTTACATTTAAGCATGTGATCCATTTTAAGTACATTTTTGTACAAAGTGTGAGGTTCATTCAAGTTGAGTTTGTTTTTGCCTATGAATGTCCAATTGCTCT
This sequence comes from Homo sapiens, assembly GCF_000001405.40. Lineage (NCBI taxonomy): Eukaryota > Metazoa > Chordata > Mammalia > Primates > Hominidae > Homo > Homo sapiens. The sequence goes on along the minus strand of NC_000009.12, from coordinate 105,643,619 downwards.
AGCACCATTTGTTGAAAGGTCTATCTTGGCTGGGTGTGGAGGCTCATGCCTGCAATCTCAGCACTTTGGGAGGCCTAGGTGGAGGACAGCTTGGGGCCAGGAGTTTGAGAGCAGCCTAGGCAACATAATGAGACTCCGTGTCAACAACAAAATAAAATAAAATAATAGCGGGGTGTGGTGGCATACACCTGTAGTCCTGGCTACTTGGGAGGCTGAAGCGGGAGGACTGCTTGAGCCCATGGAGCTCGAGGTGATAGTGAACAATGATTGTGCCACAGCACTCCAGCCTGGGTGACACAGTGAGACCCTGTCTATAAAAGAAAAAATAAAAAAAAACAGACTGTCTTTCCTCCACTGAATTGCTTTTGCACTTTTGTAAAAAATCAGTTGGACATACTCATATGGGTCAATTTCTGGTTTATTTTGTTTCACTGATCTATGTGCGTATCCTTTTACCAATACCATACTGTCTTGACTACTGCATTAGATTGCTAGGGCTGCTATAACAAAGTACCACAGCTGAGTGGTTTCAACAATAGAAATCTATTTTCTCACAGTTCAGGAAACTAGAAGTCCAAGGCTAAGGTGTTGGCAGGGCTGGTTTCTTCTGAGGGATCCTCTCCTTGGCTTGTAGGTGACCATCTTCTCTCTATGTCTCTACATGGTCCTCCTTCTGTGCCTCTCCTTGTCCTAAGCTCTTCTAAGGACTCTAGTCACCAGTGAATTGGGAATCACCCATATGACCTCATTTTACCTTAATTAGCTGTTTAAAGGCTCTATCTCCAAACACAGTCACATTCTGAGATACTAGGGGTCAGGACTGAAACATATGAATTTTGAGGGATATAAGGGAACACAATTCAGCCCATAACAATTACTATAGCTATATAATAAACCTTAATATTGGGTAGAGTGATCCTTCTCACTTTCAGTATCAGAGGCTGGTTTTAAGTAATAATTAAAAAAAAATTTTTTTTTTCAGATCAACAGTTAAGTAGAATTGGCAGAGTGAGTAGCCACTGGATTTCAAGTCAGAAAACAAGGATTTAAGATCTGTGTTACCTCTAAATTGCAGCTTCCTCATCTGCAAAACAAGGGGAAATAACATCTACCTTATAAGATCAGATGTGGTATCTATTGAAGTGCAAGAATGAACTTAGGTCTTCTGATACCAAATCTTTCTGCTACTTTTTCCTTATAAAGATTACTTGAGATATTCTAGAGAAATAAACTTATCACATACATTTTAAAATAAGTTTGTCTATGTCTATTAAAAACCTTGCTGAGATTTTGATAGGAATTGCATTAAACCTATTGATCAAGTTGAGTAGAACTGACATCTTTACTGTGTTGTTTTCCAATCCATGAACATGGTATGCATCTCCATTTATTGAGGTCTTTGATTTCATCAGCATTTTTAACATACAAATCTTGTATATAATTTGTTAATTTTATACCTAAGTACTTCATTTTCTTCAGGGTGACTTTAAATAGTACTGTGTTTTTGTTCTCATGTTTGCTGTTAGAATATAGAAATGCAATTGATTTGGGGGTATTGGTCTTGATCTTGTATACTGTGACTGCACTAAAACTCACTTATTAGCTCCAGGTGTTTGCTTGTTTTAAAATACATTCCTTGGTATTATCTATGTAAACAATCATGTCATCTGCAAATGAAAAGTTTTTAAAAATTTCTTTGCAATCTGCATGTCTTTTATTTATTTATTTATTTATTTATTTTTTGCCTTACTTCAGTGACTAGCACTTCTAGTATTAGGCTGAATAAGAGTGATGAAAGCAGACATCCTTGCCTTGTTCCTAATCTTAGAGGAAAAACATTCAGTTTTTTGCTATTAAAACATACAGGTTTTTGTTTGTTGGTTTTAGATGTTCTTCATCAAGTTGAGGTAATTATCTTCTATTTTTAACTTACTGAGTTTTTCTCATGAATGAGGGTTAGATTTTGTCAGACTCTTTTTGTGTCTATTGATATGATTTTCTTTACTTTGTTGATACAGTGCATTACATTGACTGTTTTAAGGCTGAACTAGCCATGTACACCTGAAATGAATCCTACTGGTCATGGCACTGTTGGATTCAGACAAACTAGAACTTTTTACTCCATGTCCTGTGTTATTTCCACTCCACCACAGTTACTTTTAACAATTTTGACATCAGCTCAAAGCCTATAAAAGACCTTTCTAGTTCCTTCTCCCTGAAATATGTTATGATTCCCCATGGTGGCTGTTTCCTCTTACTACAACAAGCTAATAAACCTAACTTTGTTTGATTACAGGTGTGTTCCTGGTGGTCTTTGGCTGGCAGGTTTTATCTCTGAGAACTTTTGGATACCCAGGTATATGTGTGCAGACTACTAGGGTCCCCATAGTTGAATTTTAGAAATACTGTACTGGTGGCAAGATTACTATTTTATCAGATTGTCTGTGAATGTTAGTGTCTGTTATTTCTACTGCAAGTCTCAAAAATAAATACAAGATATCTCAAGAGATTAGAAAAATTTTATTCATCATCCCAAACTGGATTATATATTACAAATTCTGATGAAAATAATATTAAAGGTATTTTCAAGTAGTACCACAAACTATCTGTACCTGAAGATAAAACCACACAGTAAACTGGTAAGTACACATTGAATCAATTCATCTTTAAAATATCACTTTGTTTAGAAATTCATATATATGTTTTTGTAGTTATGAAGTGGGAGGGACACACAAATAGCTACATAAGATTTTCATTTAACAAACATATGAACTATTCCCCATGCTTTGAATGAATCATCAGAAGGCTGTAAAATCCTGTTATTTTTTTCAAAGGTGCATGAAACAATATTTCATTTCCAATAGCAAAAATACAGTACTTCTAATTTTCCTTATATTCTCTTTCAACCCTACTGTGAGAGCTGCTTATAATTATATAGGAGCTTGTTAATGGGTCCCTACAAAATCTCTGTATTAGGTTGGGTTAGAAGGTGCCAGGGGGTATTCTAGGGTAGAAGTTTTGATAGTACGGAAGCAGAGATTTCTTTCTTTCCTTTTTTTTTTTTTCTGAGACAGAGTCTTGCTCTATCGCCCAGGCTGAAGTGCAATGCCGCGATCTTGGCTCACTGCAGACTCTGCTTCCCGGGTTCAAGTGATTCTCCTGCCTCAGCCTCCTGTGTAGCTGGGACTATAGGCGTGCACCACCATGCCCAGCTAATTTTTTTGTATTTTTAGAAGAGACGGGGTTTCACTATGTTGGCCAGGCTGGTCTCGAACTCCTGGCCTCAAGTGATCCACCTGCCTTAGCTTCTCAAACTGCTGGTATTACAGGTGTGAGCCACTGCACCCAAAAGAAGCAGGGATTTCTTATTAGAAAATTTATACTTGCCTCCTTTAAGCACAGGACCTATACAAAAGGTATTGCCATTGAATTAGTCTGTTTCACTTATGAACTGTAATTAGGATTTCAGTCTGATGTGAAGCAGCTTAAAATGGCATCATGCACCCTGCTGATTCTTGCCTAGTTGAGATAGAAACAGAAATTTGAGGGCAGAAAGTAGAAATGAGTATTTTCAATTCTCCTTTATTAACAATGATACAGGCATTCATCAGCATAGATAATTAAATGAAATTAAGTATTCCAGATTTCTTCCCTCTCCAAATCATGGCTTATATCTAATTTCACTAACAAGGAGGTAAAGATTTACATCTAGGAAAGGCTAGAATATTGAAAAAGAAGTCCAGGGGAGAGCAGGTACCAAATCTAGTGAAGTACAGTAAACTGCTTGGGACCAGCAAACTAGGTAGCATATGGGATAATATTAGGAGACAACTGCTTAACCAAGAAAATGAAAATACAAGTTCTATTGAGAGAAGGAGGCAAACTGGTAATGTCTCTGAATTCACAAACCATATATTGTATTAATGTAATATAATTAATGTATAATTGTATTAATGACTTGATACAATTTTTTTTTTCTTAAGCAAATTCAGTCATGCAATCTTTTGAGTAAAGGAATATGTTCTGACCCATGGTTTCTATAATTCCATTTGAAGATTAGAAAAGAAACATGGAACTAGAAAATTGCACATTTCTTGAGTACTTACTTAATCCTAGGCCTGAGGCTAAGAACTGTATACTTCATTTAATCCCCCTAAAAACCCTTAGAAGTATGTATCATTTCCCCAGTTCACTAATGTGGAAATTGAGACTGAAAGGGCCCCCACCATAAATCCCACATGATTAAGCTGAAATTCAAATTCAGGCCTAACTCAAAAGCTTGTGGTCTTTTTATGGCAACACATTGCCTTCCCTGAGTGAGATGTTAGAGGTGATCTAGCCCAGGTCTTAATGATAGTGGAAGACAAGGAGGAAAGAGGGAACGTTGCTGGGATTTTTCTTGAGAAATTCTCTTGACTGGTCAGTAACTGAAGTTTTTCCATGCATTAAAGCTATTACAACTAATAATTACCTGTTAGAAGGTGGGAATGTGGCACTTTCTTGACTAGGTTTTGAGGGAATATTTCTCCTAAGGATTTATAACATTTAGGATTTAAAAAACTGTTCACTTTCCAGAAAGTGAAACTAGGGGGGAAACTTAGAAAAATATGTAGCCATAAGTTTGGGTGAGATTTTAGACTGAAGTGTGGAAGCTCATTCCAAATGTGTTTTCCAGATTTAGCTCTGGTACCCAATGTATAAATTCCTGCTTACCTATGTAATATCCTGCCTATCTATGTGCCATTTGAAGTACTGTAGTCGTGTAAGAATAAAAACAATGGTTTGAGGTCACAAACTCAAAAAGGAATGAGTACAATCTATTCTTAACTACCTGCATTTATCAGAGAGTATCAATATAAATAATTAAAAGTAGTTTAAATACTAAAAACTAGATACTCTAGTCTCCTTTCCAGCCAAGCAGATAAAAAAAAAATCTTGAAAACTGCAAAGTGACTCCAGTTACATCTATTATTCTTTTTTGTGAATGAGACCACTACTACCAGGGAAAGGTCCCTTAGGAAGGAAAGAGCCTCATAAAAGGTCACTTCAGGAAGGGGAGAGACTTCAAATACAGGCATTTAGCAGGTTGGTGCTGATGGTTCCCTTGGGAAATAGAATGGTAAAGTGGCAATGGGATGCATCTTGAGCTTAGAGAATTAGGTACCAAAGGCTGATGTCTCCAGATGTGAACTGTCTTATTGTCTGGAGAGAAGGCATTTTCCAGATAAAGGTATGAAGGTTGCCTAAGAATTCTGAATTCTGAACTAGAAAATACTTCCCCTTGACCTCTCTGTCGCCTTAGGTTCTCAATCTGAACAAAAAGATACTAAGCGGCAGAAACACCCTGAGACTTAGCCTCAATGAAGCACTGGATGCCTTCTCTGTTAAGCATCTCAAGCACTGTTAAAGATACTGTGTTGTGATGCGAAACAGACATTGGACTAGGAGTCACGGCAGTCTTGGGTTTTAGCCTCAGCTGTTCTTGTTCAGATCATTCTTTTCTGTGATTATTTATTTAGTTATAAAATAAGAGGGTTTAAAAAGAATATTACATTATGGTTTTTCTAGCTTTTAAGATTCAAAAGCAGAATGATTTTCACTTAAGTTTTAACTTGTTTTGTGGGGATACTGGCAAACATTCTGTCACCTAGTGGTCAATTTCAGGTTTTGCAGCTAGGGAATCAAAGAAATCAGCTGTCCCACCAAGCAGCTACTCTTAGGGATGCTCAATTTTAGGAACTATGGTTTTATTCCAGGGGCCAGATATCAGTAGCTGCAGCAGAGGAGAGAAGGACAAGTGCTCCCTGCTTAGAGAGGACTGGGTGACTACCTGGTTGTCCTGGTTATCAATTAAGAGGAATCTTGCCTCTCAGGATGTCTCTGGAGACATTCATGGGTGCCTAACTACCAACAAGTTGTCAACTTCCCCAGGTAAGCCAGGTAAACTAAACCTGAAAGTGGTCAGATTAGGAGAATGACTGCTAGAATACTCAAGTGATGAAAGAAAAGTGATCCAATGAGGTACTGAAGATGGATATACCTAACCCAAGGTCTCTGGACACTCCACAGAACCCAACTGTTAAAATACATAAGATGAAGTATGGATGAATCAGAATCAGAGGTAAGCCTGGCCTTCAGATTCTAGAGAAGGCTTTTGTTTCCCCAAGTTAGGGTGGAACCCATGAGCTGAAGCCTGTGAAACCAGAAGACAAGAAAAGTATTTCAGCAGCCAGTGGTCTATGTAGGGAAGAATATAGAACCTGTGTCAATTGGGCCAAGATGTCTTGGATTTCAGACACTCTTAAGACTTTGTACTTCAGGAAAGGATAAAAGATTAATCTGAAAAGGGATGGGTAAGATCTCCTGGCAAAGAATGGGAGTCCCAATTGGAAATGGGGAGAAATGTGGAGTGTATGCATTTCTAAATACTGAGCACAAGCAAATGGTCCTCATCAAGTAGGGTGGATTTTGCCCAAAAATAGTATTATTATTTGTTCTATTATTTTTAAGCATGAAAAATGAATTTAGGGTCAGCTATTTAGAATTTGGGAATGCACTCTATGGGCTGATTTTCTAGCAAAGAGAAAATGGATTATGATGATGTGCCATTTTGGGACAAGTTTGCTGACAATCTTAAATGTCTCCAGAAACCACTCATGTTATTTATGAAAGACCCAATAATTCTGCATTGAGAATGCAAATTAGGACAGAAGACTGTTGGTTATCATTTATCAAAGGTTTTCATGTTGCTTTACAAATCCGGAATGGGTGGTTGTAAGTTACTTTCTCTAATTTGTTTTCGAAAAAGTCTACCAGCCCATTCCCTCAGACATTCAGGTTTCCATTCTTGAGACTACTATTGTTCTCTGGTGTCAGAGGAAAATCTGCCAAGCTCCAGAAAGTAGTCCTAAATAGCATAGATAAGATATAAGATTCAGCTTCCTTTCCTAGACAAAGAGAAAAATAGCAGTGCTTATTGTGCCTACATTTTCCTTTACCTCTCACTTACAATATATCATTCAAGTGATATAAGAGAGAGATGGGGTAAACAGCATCCTAGCTGACTCAGACATCTTGAGGGGAAAAGGAAACTAAAGCATTCCAGAGTGTGTGGTACTTGGTAAAGTAGAAGTCTGAGTTCTTGCCCCATCGACATTCAACAGACTGAAAAACTGGGGAGGGACACAAACTTTACAAACTCTATGATCTGAGGTAGGGTGAATAGTTGTCAAGTCCACCATTTAGCTTCCATTTTGGAGATCTGATATATTAGAAGAGGAGAAGAAACAGGCAGGTTTACATGCCATTTAAATTGGTATATAGACCATAAATTAGAGATACGAAGCTGTAATTGATAAATGAAGATAATAAAGAGTATGTTTTAAAAATTAGAGTATATTTAAAAAATTCTATTAATATTTTAGTGTCATTAAAATTGGGAGTGCACAGATTATAAATTCAGAAAATATAAAATGTACATGAATTTCTCATATTTTTACCTAACAGACTGTCTGAGAATAAAATAAAAATGAGTTTTGTGAAATCATGGCCTCTTTCAAGATCATGTCTAGTAACATGGTCTCACTTGAATGATTTGTCAACAAGTGCCATCAGAGGTCAGTGAAAATATTCTCACAATGGATGGAAATTTAAGCATTAAACAAGCATAAAGTTTCTTCTCACTTCACATATGAAAACAGTACATGTACAGAAATTTACTTATCCTGACAAGTAATAAGCTCTGATACAAATAAGCTCTCACCTTCCCTAAAAGAATAATGCCTTGTTCTCTAATTCAATTCCACATAAGATTAGTTGAAAAATGAACCTGATATCATCTTTTCTTGATGTCACTCAAAGTCTGATCACTTGAATATTAACTCAGACTCCACAATCTTAAAAGTAGCACTAACATACCAGCTTAAATGCCCAGAAGAGGAGTGGGTTATTCTTTTCAACTAGTATATCCTTCCTTAGCTTTGCCTGGTGAGCTCATCTTCCAGTTCAAACATTACTTCACGTTTTAAAAACCTGTACAGAACTTGAACTCTTCAAAGGGTGGGGGAGGGTTCCCTCAAAGGAAAATTGAGTTGTTTACCAAAAGGAGGAATAAAAGAAGTAGGTATTTGTCTCATTCATCTAGGCTTCTCCACTGTAACCTAGCATTGTATGTGGCACATGAAAATTCCTCAGTACTAAGTGAGAGAATTACATCAGATGACTCTTTCTGTGTCTTCAAACTTGTCACATTTTTTCTTTGGTTCCCACTTATGTTTGACAAATAGACATGTATTTTTTAAACAGTTATCTACCTTTTTTTCCAAAAGAGAAATTCTCCCATTTCAACCTACTATCTCAATATAACTGGATAACCTCATCCCACTCAGAAATAGGCCAGATTCCATTGGGTTGCACATTGGGAGGAGAGCGCTTCCAGTCCCACGTCTTTACAGGAATCTTCCAGGTCTTACCATAGTTGGCTTCAATGTATTCGAGGGTTTCACAGGGTACATGGACCTTCATGTCTACAAACTCAGTCCAGCACAGTGTAAACTTCGGAAACAGGTATCTGCAGCAAAACAGAGGGATTAGGCTTCAACAGTGGAAGAAGGTCTAGCTAAGGAATCTAGCTGCTAGTGCATTATTGGCTGAAGGACAGTGCTCTCCCATTACACAGCTTTGGGAAGAGAGTGGATATTTAATTATTTTTGACTGTCCAGAATCCCTTTCCTCTTCTCCAATTTTCCTTTCCTGTTCCAAGCTCATAGGATTGAGGAGAGGCTGACCCCATCACTAAGACTCAGGCCAGTAAGTTAATGATTGAGGCAGGGATGGGAACATACCCAAGTCAGGCAAATCAAAGTCAGCCTTGGGCTTTCTGTTGGAACTGTAGAGGAAAGAAGTGTCAAAGTAGAAAGCTGTCAAAAGATGGATGAAAATGATCTTTTTCTTTTCTTTCACAATCTGGATTTTCCAAGGATACAGAGTAAGCAGGACTCCAAGTTGCATTTCCAGGCTTTTCCTTTGGTTCCATAGCTTACATGATCCTACCTGTGGTTTCTGCCTTTCATCTCAAATGCTAAAGAACATCTTTAAACCAGCCCAAGGAATACTAGTTATAATGATTGTAACTATATTTATTGCAGAACTAAGTCGATTAGTAGGTAAGTTTTAGAAATTAAACCAGGCCGGTCGTGGTGGCTCCCGCCTGTAATCCCAGCTCTTTGGGAGGCTGAGGCAGGTAGATCACTTGAGGCCAGAAGTTCGAGACCAGCCCGGCCAACATGACGAAACCCCATCTCTACTAAAAATACAAAGAAATTAGCTGGGTGTGGTGGCACACTCCTGTCGTCCCAGCTACTCAGGAGGCTGAGGCAGGAGAATCACTTGAACCCTGGAGGTGGAGGTTGCAGTGAGCCAAGATCACGCCACTGCACTCCAGCCCGGGTGACACAGTGAGACCCTGTCTCAAAAAAAAAAACAAAACAAACAGAAATTAAACCAAAACATGTTTCTTAAAGATCCTTTGGATCAAGTAAACTAAATTATGTATACTAGAAAAGAAAGCTAAAACTAGCAGGTCTGTTTAAGTTTATATTATAGCTCTGCTCTATATTCTGCATTTTTTTTCTGAGAAGTGTTTCAGTGTGGGAAGAACTTTCAGTAATGAGGTTTAAAGTGGCAATAGCAGAGATTACAGGAATTTAAAATATCAGAGGATTAAAGAAAGAACAGGGAAAAGCCAGATTTCAAAGTGTAATCATATTGTGGAAATGGGATCTAACTGGGATGTTCTCCAAGAAAAGGTCAGTTCTCATATATTCTGCCTTTGAATATCGTGTTTTACTACCAAATGAACATAAAGCCATACATGAAAAGGAGAGGCTGAACAAATTCTAAAGAAAGCAACAACTCCCTTTTACTCAAACCCAGTTAATGGACAATCCCAGCTGGCTACTGTGAAAAGGTGGCCACGGAAAATCTCATAGCTGAGAAATAAGATACAGCTTAGCCCCACCATCTGCTGGTCCCAATTTTACTCTGCACACTCATGTTAACGGAATTGCTTATTTTGTCATCACACCTAACAATCCATCACCAGCCTCCACCCTCTCTAATCAGATGCTGGTTAGCAGAATGTCCACCTGTCTTATCCTATCAAGTTGACACAATGAAGTTGAATTGAGGCAGAACTCATGGTCTATCTTGTAATACAGGCCAGGAAACTCCTCTAAGTATTATCCTTTGTGGTCTCATCAAAAAGCTGAAAGAGGGAAAAATAATAATAGATACAGGATAGATAAGGTGAAAGGGAATACTACAAATTTTACAAAAGCAATGTTTTGAACAATGAAGAATTTATGAGCAAAGCCAAAACATTTTAAATATATAAATAATGTGAAAATAATTCGAAGACAATTTAACTCAAATGTTAATTTTTGTACTTAACAGAAACCTCTCTAAACTCTTTGTGGTTTCCTTTTCCCCAATTATTTTTCAATCCATTCAGCAAAAAGAAAATCCCAGCTTCCTAAGAGGAAAGATAAACAAACAATAAAATGTAAAAACTGATTATAAAATAGGATTGTAGGGAGGAAGTGAAGGAGAGTGAATGACACAGAACAGCACATGCCATGCACTCTGTCCAGGCTACCAGTAAATAATGACTAAGACTAAAATACACCATGGGTCTGCAATGTTACCTTGGCTTTTAAAGCTAAGACTAAGTTCGGCTAAGCAGTTTGTACTTTAAGGCCCTGGGATTGGATCCAGCATGTGAACAGGTTTAAATGCAGACTAAGGCAACCCTAAATCAGAATATAAGTTTAAGAGATATTATTACCACAAAAAAATCCTTCCATCCATTTTCTATTTCATACCACTTTTATTTCATATTATTTTTACATAAAACAGTAGTTCAATAATTGGAATAGACCATTTTTTTCCCTCACAGATATCCTTAAAATCTATACAACTACTTGGTGGTAGTTGGATAATTTCATCAGTTTAATTACAATCAGTTTAAGCACAACCTATGAATACAACTGCTAAATGAAAAGGAAGTTCTTCCACTATCCCAGAACCAACAGTGTTTTATTATTACTAGGCTCAGAGAGATAGAGACAACATCAACTATAACTGAACCTGGCTTTTTTATTTATTTTATTTTTTATTTTTATATATATATATATTTTTTTTTATTATACTTTTAAGTTTTAGGGTACATGTGCACATTGTGCAGGTTAGTTACATATGTATACATGTGCCATGCTGGTGCACTGCACCCACTAACTCGTCATCTAGCATTAGGTATATCTCCCGATGCTATCCCTCCCGCCTCCCACCACCCCACAACAGTCCCCAGAGTGTGATATTCCCCTTCCTGTGTCCATGTGATCTCATTGTTCAGTTCCCACCTATGAGTGAGAATATGCGGTGTTTGGTTTTTTGTTCTTGCGATAGTTTACTGAGAATGATGATTTCCAGTTTCATCCATGTCCCTACAAAGGACATGAACTCATCCTTTTTTATGGCTGCATAGTATTCCATGGTGTATATGTGCCACATTTTCTTAATCCAGTCTATCATTGTTGGACATTTGGGTTGGTTCCAAGTCTTTGCTATTGTGAATAATGCCGCAATAAACATACGGGTGCATGTGTCTTTATAGCAGCATGATTTATAGTCCTTTGGGTATATACCCAGTAATGGGATGGCTGGGTCAAATGGTATTTCCAGTTCTAGATCCCTGAGGAGTCGCCACACTGACTTCCACAATGGTTGAACTAGTTTACAGTCCCACCAACAGTGTAAAAGTGTTCCTATTTCTCCACATCCTCTCCAGCACCTGTTGTTTCCTGACTTTTTAATGATTGCCATTCTAACTGGTGTGAGATGGTATCTCATTGTGGTTTTGATTTGCATTTCTCTGATGGCCAGTGATGATGAGCATTTTTTCATGTGTTTTTTGGCTGCATAAATGTCTTTTTTTGAGAAGTGTCTGTTCATGTCCTTCACCCACTTTTTGATGGGGTTGTTTGTTTTTTTCTTGTAAATTTGTTTGAGTTCATTGTAGATTGTGGATATTAGCCCTTTGTCAGATGAGTAGGTTGCAAAAATTTTCTCCCATTTTGTAGGTTGCCTGTTCCCGAACCTGGCTTTTTTAAACTTAAGTTTTACATTAACTCTAGAATTGGAGCAGTAGAGCCATTCTTGACAAGAATTTCCTACAAAACATAAATGGTTTATTCTCACTACCAATTTTTTCTCTTCTTTTAACTTTTAATTTCTTCTCATGTTATTCCAGTGCCTAAGCCCTCTAGCATATTGTTTAATAGAAGCAGGGCTAGCACACATTCCTAACGTTTTTCTGATTTTAATGGAAGGGCTTCTAAAGTTTTATCATTAAACATGATTGCTCACTCTAGGTTTTTGTTATATTCTCTTTATTAGGTAAAAGAAATTTCAGATTTTTTTGTTTGTTTGTTTGAGACAGTCTCGCTTTGTCACCCAGGCTGGAGTACAGTGGTGCGACCTCAGCTCACTGCAACCTCCACCTCTCGGGTTCAAGCAATTCTCCTGCCTCAGCCTCTGGAGTGGCTGGGATTACAGGCGCACACCACCACACCTGGCTAATTTTTCTATTTTTAGTAGAGTTGGGGTATCACCATGTTGGCCAGTCTGGTCTTGACCTCCTGCCTCAAGTGATCCACCTGCCTCGGCCTCCCTAAATGTTGAGATTACAGATGTGAGCCACCATGCCCAGCCTAGATTCCTTTTAATCCAAATTTGCTAAGAGGTCTCTCTCCTTTTGGTTAATTATAAAATTTATCAAAAAATGTTAATGTCATCTATTAAAACAATCATAGTGTTTTTGTTCCTTTAATCTTTTAATCCTTTAATACAGAGAATTACATTAATATGTACACACTACAAAATTCTATTCATTTAGTATTTTTTCACTGTATTCACTGAGACAGTAATTTCCCTTAAAAAATTTTTTTTGGTATTGTTCATGTCCACTTTTGCTATCACTCTCATAAAATAGTTATTTAGTTTTCTCTTTTTCTATTGCCTGAAATAAGCTGTACAATACAGGGATAATCTGTTCTGTGAAGGCACAGTGAAACTTTGCAGCAAACTTTCTAGGTTTTAGTATACTCTGGTAGGGAAAAGAGGGAGAAAGGAGGATTTCGGATTACTAATTCACTGTCTCGAATGAATATAGGTTATCTAGATCTTTTTGAGTTGATTTTGGTATTTATTTTTCTAGAAAATTTTATCATTTTCACATTTTAACTAATGATCACATTTATTGACCTAGTTATCTACCGCATTTTGTTTTGAGAGAGTTAATGTAACACAGCTGAGTATAAACTAAAGCCAGCCATCCCAGATTTTTCTTTTTTCTTTTTTTTAATTATACTTGAAGTTCTAGGGTACATGTGCACAACGTGCCAGTTTGTTACATATGTATACATGTGCCATGTTGGTGTGCTGCACCCATTAACTCGTCCTTTACATTAGGTATATCTCCTAATGCTATCCCTCCCCTCTCCCCCTACCCCACGACAGGCCCCAGTGTGTGATTGTGTGATGTTCCCCACCCTGTGTCCAAGTGTTCTCATTGTTCAATTCCCACCTATAAGTGAGAACATGCAGTGTTTGGTTTTCTGTCCTTGCGATAGTTTGCTGAGAATGATGGTTTCCAGCTTCATCCATGTCCCTACAAAGGACATGAACTTGTCCTTTTTTATGGCTGCATAGTATTCCATGGTGTATATGTGCCACATTTTCTTAATCCATTCTATCATTGATGGACATTTGGGTTGGTTCCAAGTCTTTGCTATTGTGAATAGTGCCACAATAAACATATGTGTGCATGTGTCTTTAGAGCAGCATGTATATATACATACACATAATGACTACATTAAAAACTATCAATTTAAAACAAGTACTAAAGTTTTCCTCAATGCCAGAGGACAAAGCCTTGGGACATAACTACATAACTTCCAAAAACTCTATAGCTCTACATAACCACATAACTTCCCAGAACTAGATCTAATAGCACTTCAACAACCAGTTAGACTCCAGTTGTGCTTGCTTTCCTTCAGACTTTTACAGGATTTCTCCTTGTATATAATGGATAATTTTTAAAAGAATTAAATTATAGTTTCAATTTTCATACTCAATACAAAAGGCTTTACTATCAGATTACACAATTTGTTTAATCATATGTGAAAGTCTCAAAGTTTATCATTGCAATTAGGTCTGCCCTGACCAAATTCATTGCTTTTGGTCCCATATATCCCTCTGTTTCAACCTGTGATCTCAGACCCTTTTTCTCTTAGCATCAGTTTTCTAAGTCACAAACTGTTTTTTATCTTTTTAACCTTTTTTAAGTTTAGTTTTTATTTTTTTGTAGACATGGGGTCTCCCTATGTTGCCCAGGCTTATCTTGAACTCCTGGGCTCAAGTGATCCTCTCACCGGGTCTTCCCCAAATGCTGATGGGTTACTGTGCCCAGTCTTAAACTTTTAAGGTAACTTCTTTTGAGGTATAAGTTAAGTATAATGAAATGCATCTATCTTAAGTGATGAGTTTTGATAAATGTATATACCTGTGTAACCACAATAATCAAGATATAGAACATTTCTACCAACCCCTCGTCCAAAGTTCCCTGTGCCCCTTGTCAGTCAAGCAATCAACCCACCCTGGTCCTAGGCAACCACTAATCTTATTACACTGTTGGTTGGTTTTTCCTGTGCAATTTCAAATAACAGCAAGTACACAGTATATACTCTTCCTATCTGACTTCTTTCACTTAGCATCATGTTTTAGAAATTCATCCATGTTATTGCATTTATCAGTAGTTCATTGCTATTCATTGTTCAGTGGTAGTCCATTGTTTGAATATATCATAATTTTATAACTAGTCACCAGAAGATGGGCATTTGGGTTGCTTCCATTTCTTGCTAGTATGAGTAAGACTGCTATAAACATCTGTGTACAAGTCTTTTACTGAAAATATGCTTTTATTTCTCTTAGAATACTATCCTATATAATATCTTATAGAATTATGTTCAAACAACAAACTATTCGACAGTTTTAAAAAACATAACTTACTTCACATAAATGAAAGATTTACTGCTTATTCATCTGGAGGCAATCTTCTCTTAAAAAAATAAACAAAGCTTGCTATATAAATAACTGCTACTTCTACATATTGTATAAGTATACAATTCCCATATAACATGCATTCAAAGTTCTTCCCTCAATTCCTCAATTTTGCACCTGCTACTTACTAGCGGTTTGGAGGTATAATTAAGGAGACCTAAGACATAATCTGTATGTTGTAAAATATAAACGCATAAACAGAGCAGAAAATACGAGATCATTCATAGAAAAGTCAATGTTTTAAATACACTCATTTAAAGAAATTATTCAAATTTGCCTTTAGCTTCACAGCTGTAAGTACTAAAAAGACAAATGTGTTTCTTGGAGTTACAACTGTAGGAGCACAGTATCAATCTGTGAAGCTGAGAGAGACAATGAGTGAGGATTCAACAAATACCTCTAGTCTTTTAACTTCTTGTGAAGCAGAATGATTGAAAACAACTAGGCTAACTTAATTCTATAGTTTTAATTCTCCAACCACGTTAGGTTGGATCAAGTCATCAACCCAGTGTCACCTTATCATCTTAACAAAACAGTGTAGACTACACTTAAGAGGATCTGACTTAGTTTCATGTAGGGCTCAGGTCTCACTTAGCCAAACATGTACCAGGCCTGATTTTATCTATCACATAGAAAGGACAGACAAATCAGCAAAAGTACTCCAATAAAGCATGAGAGAGGGAAAGAAAAAGAAAATCTATAGAAATGCAGAGGAAGAGAAGATTATTTCCAGATCAAGGTACCAAGAAGCTAGTTCAAACAGACAGCAACGTAAGGCCCTTGAATGAGCAGAAGTGGGACATGCAGTGATGTATGATAATCTAGTATTACTAGTGACAAGCTTAAAATCTTGGACCAAAATAAAGTTTCAAAAGGTAGAGTGTCTAAATGCAATGTGGTATCCTGGATTAGATCTTAGAACAGAAAAAGCACATTGGTAGAAAAGCTAGTGAATCCAAATAAAGTATAGAGTCTAAATTTGATCTTTACTTCATATTACATATAGAACAATAAAGTTTCTAGAAGGTAGTACAAGAGGAATAGCTTCATTATCTTGGGATAGGGAAAGATTTCTTAAACAGGACACGATAATACTACCCATAATAGATAAACTGAACTACATTAAAATAACTTTTTATTCACCAAAAATCACTATTAAGAGAGTAAAGAAGGGCTGGCATGGCAGCTCATGCCTGTATTCCAATCACTTTAGGAGGCCGAGGAGGGCAGATTACTTGAGGTCAGGGGTTTGAGACTAGCCTGGGCAACATGGTGAAACCCCATCTCTACTAAAAATACAAAAATAGCTGGGTATGATGGAATGTGCCTGTAATTCCAGCTACTTAGGAGGCTGAGGCATGAGAACTGCTTGAACCTGGGAGGTGGAGGTTGCAGTGAGCCAAGATCACACCACTGCACTCCAGCCTGGGTGACAACTCTGTCTCAAAAAAAAAAAAAAAAGAATAAAGAAGAAAGGCACAAATTGGGAGAAGATATTTTCAAGTAAGAAAAAGACAGACAACTCAGAAAAAAACCCTGACAAGATACTCAGCCAGTAACTCACAAAAGAGGATATCCAAATGGTCAGTAAACATGAACTTGCCTTCATTAAGTCAAGGAAAAAGAAATCTAAACTACAATTTGGTAACACTACACACCTACCAAAATGGTTACAAATTAAGAAGTCTGACAATGCCAAGCGTTGGTAAAAATGTGGGGCAATGGAAAGTTCTATAACATACTGGAATATAACTTGGAATAACTTTGGAAAACTATTTGTAAACAATATGCTGAAATTGAACACAAGAATACCCTACGACCAAGCAATCCCAAACTTTATGTGTAAACCCAATAGAAAAACATTGCTGTGGTTTGAATGTTTATGTCTCCTCAAAATTCATATGCTGAAATCCTAACCTCCAAGGTGACGGTATTAAGAGGTAAGACCTTTGGGAGGTGATTAGGTCATGAGGGTGAAACACTCAGGAATGGAAACTTTATAAAAAAGGCCTAAGGGAGCTTGATTGCTCCTTTCACCATGTGAGGAGAAATCAGCAGTCTACAACCAGGAGGAGGGCCTTCACCAGAACCTGACCATGCTGGTACCTTTATCTTGGACTTCCCATCATCCAGAAACCTGAGAAATAAATTTCTGTTTATGAGCCACCCAGTTTATGGTATTTTGTTATAGCAGCCTGAGCAAACTAAGATAAGCATGTACCAGGGCACTAAAAGACACGTACAGAAATGTTCACTACAGCATCACCTATAATAGCCCCAAATTGAAAACAACCCAAATATCCAACTACTATTTGGGTTAGTGGACTTAATAAATATTTGTGATATATTCATACAATTAACTACTACACAGCAAAGAAAATGAAGAGCCACAACATGTAAAAATATGGATGGTTCTCACAAATACAATGTTGAATGAAAAGAAGCCAGCAACATACCATCTAGTTTATATAAAATAAAAAAACAGGTAAAACTAAACTGTAATACCAGAAGTTAGCATCGCTGTTACCTTGTGGGAAACAGGAGCTATGATCGTGAGGGAAAATGATATGGGTTTCTGGGGTGCTGACAAATACTTTTTTTTTTTTACTGGGGTGCTGGTTACACATTTGTTCATTTGATAATTCTTGGAGCCATACATTTGCTTTGTATAGTTTTCTGTATGTATGTTACACTTCAATTAAAAACATAATAATCCACTATTTCCTAATTTTTCTCTAGCTCTAAGATTATAAACTTATATGTTATTTTGGACACTTAGTTTTCTTGGACTCCCCTTGTTCACAGCCAGGCATGGTGCTAAGTTCTTTTACCATTTCTTCCGGTCACCTCCTGTTTAGCATAGGTCCTCAACCACCCAAGTCTTCCTCACTATACCAGCTTTCCATGCCTACACACACTAGCAAGAACAATATTCCTCAACAGGACTTGTGTCTTACTACATTCTCCACCAAAAGCCTTATGAGAGAGATTCTTTATTACATCCAGTCAAAAACCCCACCAAACAACAAGACTTTCTGGCAATTAACCAGTTTACCAGCATTGCCAAATATCATCTTTACATGGCCCTAAGTCTCTTTTCCTAGAGGCAACCAAATCTAACTTAATAGCAATTCCCCATTCAACAATATTCATTCAAATTGTGCTGACTCAACCCTCACTTTCAGAGAAAACTTCCAAAGAATCAGTACTCTTTACACGTTTTTTTCCTATAAACTATATCTCTCTGCAGTTATATGTAATACAAGTTTATATTCATCTCTGTAACATTTGGTAGGCTTTAATTCACTACCATGTGATTTTTTTTCTAATTGCTACCTAGCAATGAATCTTCCTAATCAGACTTCTATGCTCTGCCTGCCTAATTTAGAATTAGCAAACAGTTGTGAATCTATTACGTGCCAAGCACTGAATCAGGTAACTACACAGTATTTAATCGAAGCATTATACCCTGTGAAGTACGCAGTGTTATTCCCATTTTAAGAGGAGAAATCTGAAGCTCAGAAGGTTATATGACACAAAAAAATAGAACTCAGATTTGAATTCAGGTCTTCTAATTCCTGGGCTCACTCAGCTAAAATCACACTTGTATAAAGCTTAAATATAAAAGTCTCTATATAATAAGTGTCTAACAAACACCTATAACAAGACATTCAAAATGCACTGTAATATTTTAAAGCTGGATTTTGAAAGGGAGACTGGGACGACAGGGAGGGGGTTAGATGTATACTAAAAGCCAGTTGATGTTAGGAATAGTTAAGAGAAAAGTAATGATTCTTTTTCTTTTTTTTTTTTTTTTTTGGTTTTGCTCTGTCACCTAGGCTGGAGTACAGTGGTGCAAATGTGGCTCACTGCAGCCTAGATTTCCTGGGCTCAGGTGATCCTACCGTCTCAGCCTCCCATGTAGTTGGGACCACAGACACATGCCACCATGCCTGGGTAATTTTTAAAAAATTTTTATATAAAGCCAGGGTTTATTCTGTTGCCCAAGCTGGTCTCAAACTCCCGTGCTCAAGCAGTTCTCTCACCTTGGCCTCCCGAAGTGCTGGGATTAAAGGCATGAGCCACTGTGCCTGGCCAGAAAGGTAATAATTGTTGGTAACTTGCTACTAATGACTGACCTGGTTTTATGATAGAAGATACCTTGGGATAATAAGAAGAAAGTGAAAAGAAAAGTTACTCAAAGAAACTATCAGGGGAGTCATGAATGACTGTGAGTACAATGCAACACTCAGTATGATATAGCAAACTAAGCATGCTCATTTATGTTGGTGACTGTATAAAATTTTGCATAACTTTTTAGGAATGCAACCTGGCAATATGTATCAAAACTCTTTAAAAGGCTCATATCTTTTGACTTAATAATTCTACCTTTGGGTATCTATTGAAGGAAACAACCCCTTAAAGTTTTTACTTTACGTATACAGATGCCCACAGAATTTTTTAAATTAAAAAATAGAAATAAACTAATTTAAAAATCATTAAATAAATCTATTTTTAGGACTTTTCCCACATTTCTCCTAAGTCTACCTAACAAATTTCTCTACTTGTAAGCCACACTTCTTTGCCATTGTTTCTAGATATGGCTGATTTGGTACTTCAACTATAGATTATACATATTTGATTACAGTACTGCTATCAGAGTACTTTAACATGTCTCATGGTCTAGATCATGAGATCCTTAAGAGCAGAAACTAAGTTACAGTCACATCAGTATCCTTAGCACATAGCAGTTGGTAAATACATTTTACAGAAATGAAGTGATAAATTACACAGGATCCACACCTGGATGGGAGTGTGGTCCACAGAGGATGAATCTGAATTTTCTGAAGATCTATCCAATAATCAGAAGCTGCAACTGTCAGAAGGTATAAGGAACCCACTACTAGCCCAAGGAGTAGATTTCCTATTAGAGGATGTAGCAGTAGTTGTATTACCCTGATAATGTTTTCATGGAAGGGGTATTAACAACATGATAGAGATCATGGTGACACTAACTTAGTAAGAACATGGGCTCTGAAGTGATACACACCTAGGTCTGACTCAGGTCTGCCTTAATTTGCTCATCCATAAAATAAAGGTGATGATGATAAAATCTCCTTTATAAACTTATTGTGAGGATTAAATAAGATAACACATATAAAAGCTTGGCATATTGATTGGCTTATAGTAAGTATTCAATAAAGTTAACTATTATTATTACCTTTCAAACTTCTGGCTTCTACCCATACCAGTTGATTCAAAATGGGAAGGAAAGAAGCAAACCAAATAAATCTAGGCAGCATCTTTAGGAAATGTGAAGTTGAATTAAGAACTTCACATTCTGGAGGCATAGTTATTATATTCATCACTTTTATTACTGGCAGATTTGGATGCTGGAGAAAAACAGAATAAAGAATCCAGTCAATATTTTTAAATGGAATTTGGATTTCAGGTAAAAGAAGGGCTTCCTATAAAGAAGTGAAAGACTGAGAACTAAAGACGGAATGAGTATCATGAGACGGAGGAAGAAAATATGCCTGCCTAGAAAATTACTAATCCAATTTACCACTGTGCTGAAAGTACCATACCTTATGCCAGTGCAGCATGGTAATTATAATAACAGTAACAGTAATAATAATAATACAGTACTGACAGTAGCTACTACTTACACAATACTTACAATGTGCCAGGTACTGTTCTAAATGCATTAGATGTACTAACTCACTTAACCTATTAACTCTAAGAAGAAAGCATTTAGGCTTAGGGGTCAAACAGGTCTGGCATTAAATCTTGATCTTGCCATTAACAGTCAAAAGCCTCGAGTAAGTTACTTCACTCTGAGCTTTAGTTTCCTAATGTCTAACTGGAGGTGAGAATACCGAACCCACAGGGATAGTATGAGGATTAACCAGATTATATATATAAATATATATATGAACTACCTATCACAGTGCCTGATAGGTAGCAGATATCCTGGAAGCTTTATCTTTTTTATTACTCTTAATATACTGTTAAATCTTAGGACCAAAGATATCATTCTATAGTCCTGCAGAGTAGTTTAGAAAGAAAATCTTTTTTCTTCCTTCTTGAGTTCCTCTTCTGCCTTTTAAAAAATAGTAAGCATTCTATATTATTAAGCTTTTCTCAGAATGAACTATATATAAAATAAAAAATAGGTTATTATAAAGACAAAAAGACCTTTGGAGAAGGTGAGATGATACATTATACTGACTAGTTTGAACAGTAATTCTAATGTGCTCCCAATTATATTTGGTGTATGGTAGATTTAGTTACTGATTACAAGTAATTGATAAGTTACTGATTAGTGGCAAATATTGAGCAAGTTTACCTCTCTTTACAGATAGTGCACTTTTAAAAAATAAACCCATATTCTCAAACCATGTGGTTGAGAATATAAATTGGGGAAACATCTTTGGAGGGCAATTTGGCAATATCTATCAAAATTGAAATATGCTTATATTCCCTTTAGCCCCAAAATTTGAGTCTAATACTTTATCCTGCACAGGGTTTCACACGTGTGCATAAAGACATATGGACAGAGATAGTGACTGCAGAACTGAGGGTCACAGTAAACTACTGGAAACAGCCTAAATATTCATCAATAGGGAATTGGTTGAATAAATTATGGTATTGCCATACAATGGAATAAAATGCAGCTATTTCTATACATACTCATTTGGAACATTTTCCAAGATACATAGCTATGTGAGGAAAAGAACATACAGACAGTGTGTAATATGCCATAATACTATTTGTGTAAAGGGGGAGAGATGAACGTAAATACTATATGTATACGAGCATATGTTTGTCTCGGAAAGGATACATAAGAAATGAGTAATCATGGTTATCTCTGTAAAGGGCAACTAGAAACGGGAAAATGAGGGGCAGAGGATGGAGAAAGGTTAACTTTTCATACACATCCTTTATATTCTTTGAATATTTTAACTATGTAATGTATAATCTATTCAAAAATTTAAAATACATTAAAAAGACCCTTGAACTAGCTTTAAACATTTTGTTTTTCTTCATCCCCAAGGAATAGTAGTGTTAAAAATACTACATTTTCTTAAAGTAAATAGTGCCGAAAAGAATAAAAATGGCATATGGCTGGGGGAATCTTCCAAAGAAACTACTCTACTCAGCCATCTCCTGTTCTTTTCTCTGCCTTTTAAGGTCACAGTAACATGATAGAAAATCTGGGACTCACACCATCTGTCCAGACAGTTCTATCACTGCTCATTTCTCTTGTTAAATAATCAGAACACTTCACACTTCCCAAACACTGCTACTATAAAGAGCTGTTAAAGCAGAATGAAAGAAGCTTTTTCTCTCCAGAAATGTAGTAGTTGGAAATGAACAGTTCTTTTGAGGTTTGCAGGTTTCGGATCATGTCAGTGAGAGAAAAAATTCAAGCCTTAGAAAGTAATTTAAGAATAACAGGACTCTAATACTGGCTCTAGAAATTATCTTTCTTAGAAAAAAGGTGACACTCTTACAGAAGTTCTCTAAGAATAGATGTAACAGTTTAATATTGAGATAATTATACATGTCTCTAATCTGTAAATTTCTCATGAGAATAAGAAGAGAAATAGTTTTCTTTACTACTACTACTACTACTACTACTACTACTACTACTACTACTACTATAGTAGTATTAGTAACAGCAGGTAATAATTACTTAGCACCCAGGACCTCCTGACACACCTCAAAGCTCTTTTTGTGTATTAATTCTTTTAATCCTTAAAACCACTCTATGTGGCAATTTCTACTATAATTTCCATTTTACAGCTGAGGAAACTTAGGCAGAGAGGTTAAATAACTTGCTCAAGGTAATATAGCTGGTAAAATAAAGAGCTGAGATTCAACAGCAATCACACTGGCTTCAGAATATCTACCTCTGAAGGTTATTTTGAGGACTAGATGGGTTAATATATGTAAAACGTTCAGAATAGTGCCTGACACACAGTAGTATTACTCAATGTAATGGATAAAATGATTACGTTCAGAAAATCTAAAGGCCACAAATTAGGGTGGAGCTAAGGTTTCCCAGGTCAGCCTGACTCTAAAACCCATGCTCTTCAGGTTCTCATTCTCATTCTCTCTCTCAGAACTGAGAATAGACCAGCTGTATCATCAACTTGGACTGACAAACCCAGGGACACTTCCTCCTCACAAACCGTCCTTACAGGTATTCTTACTTCACAGGCATAACTGGACTCTATGGGTAAGCTAAGAAAGTGTTAGCTAATAATGGAGTCTTGAAAGAGATTTTTGGTTTTCTTTTCAGTTACTTCTTTATTTCTACCTCCTGAAATTATTTCTGTAGTACCTTTATAAATAAGTACTTATTTGATTCATACTTGAATTTTTTTCCTGTTTTGGCCTGAGTGCCTCCATTCCACATGTGATCAGTTTCTTCATAGAAGAAAAAAACATCAAGTTTTACATCATCTTTTCCCTGGAAGGATAGTTCCAAGCTGTCTTCTACCTATGGGGAAGATGAAAACCTTCACACACTGAAACAAAGGAAATACATTTTTAAAAACCTTTTTTTAAAAAATAAAAATAAAGAAACAGATTCTTAAGTTTTACATACATAGAGTATTCATTCTAAGATGCACATTTTTTCAAGTTAAGGCACCTCTGAAATTGGGATGCATCAGTAACATATCATTTAATTTCTTAACTGCATCTAAAATAATGTTTCTTACAATTGATGATAACTCAGAGTAAATGACTTATGGTAATTATCACTGCAGAAAAAAAATAGAAATATCCTATTCCAGAGCAGCTTTCTGACTAAAAAAGGAAAAGAACCAAAGAAATATTATTTCCTTTAATAATCCAAATAAAACTATCAGGAAATAAGTCTCTCATAACAATCAATAAGTACTTAAGTAAAGTGGCATTCCTCATAGCCACATACATAAATAGTCTAGCTCATTATACTACACACATGGAAAAAAGAAAAAAATAAAAGTTAAGGTAAAAAAATAAATAATTCTGAGAACATTTCCCTAAAGAAAACTTATCATACAAATAATTACGTTCCCATTGGACTTGGTACATCTGTCCGCCACAGCACTCATCACAGAATTATTTATGCAGCCTTTCCCCCTCCCAATTAGACAGTGAGCTTCTCAAGGGTAAGAACTATCATTTATTCATCTTTGTCTCCCAGGTGCAGAGGACAGTGCCATACTTATAGTGAATGTTTGGTAAATGTTTGCTGAATAACTAGAGCTCTGTTATTTGACTTTGACCTCAGTAAAATATTTTATTTATATTTTTTAGTAACATAAAATAACTATTTATGATGGAAAAAATAATTTTCTGGTGACTAAACTTTTTTTTTTTTTTTTTAAGACGGAGTCTTGCTCTGTCGCCCAGGCTGGAGTGCAGTGGCGCGATCTCAGCTCACTGCAAGCTCCGCCTCCCAGGTTCACGCCATTCTCCTGCCTCAGCCTCCCCAGTAGCTGGGACTACAGGCGCCCGCCACCGCGCCCGGCTAATTTTTTTTGTATTTTTAGTAGAGATGGGGTTTCACTGTGGTCTCGATCTCCTGACCTCATGATCCACCCGCCTCGGCCTCCCATAGTGCTGGGATTACAGGCGTGAGCCACCGCGCCCAGCCGACTAAACATATTTTTACTTGCTTGTAGGGTAACACCTCCGAGGGGACAAGCAAATTAAGAACAAGATGATTGCAAGAGATCATGGGCTTAGGGCATAGGAATCAAATTGTCTAGAGGGAGATTTCATCTAGGCCCCAATGACCTATCCCTAGTTGATGTCTGAGCAAACTGCTATAGCCTAGGACATATAAGATAAACAAGAAATTGAAGTACTTATTTGAAATGATTCTATATTTCTATCCCTTAGCAATCAATGGAATATTTTATGTTGATAATGACATCTGTAAATTAAATGACTCATGAGAAACAATCAGGTACGGCGGGTGGGATTCTTACTTATTAATTGTATATTATACATTATATTGATTTTATATTACATTGTTGCCTAATATAATAGCAATACATTCACCTATAAGAGTTCAAGATCCTTCTTTTCTTATCATTATTGGTGCAAAAGTAATGGCAAAAACCACAATTACTTTTGCACCAACCCAGTAGAAAGCCAGATTTTCTTGCTTTTGCCTAGACAGTGCAGAAATTACAAGTGGTAACAGGCTTCTGCTGAACTCATCCTAGTCAATACTGAGTGATAAAATTATGTATGTAGCATTCTTAACCATATCTGAGTTGCTTAATGTAAACTTTACAAGTGAGATATGTTACTTATGAAATGAAGCCGACTTTTGTTACTGACCTTCCCAAATTTGTGTTTGAGCGGAAGTCCTGCATCCTGAAATGCTAAAATAATATCAGATTTGTAATCTTGTATAAAAATTCCTAGGTCAACATCTTTGCTATAAGGAATAATGTTGCATTGTCGATACCATCCTAAAAAGAAGATTAAATTTTTTTAACAAAATTTAGGTTTGGAAAAAATTAGTTATTATAACAAATTATATTTGTAACAAGGATTTTTTTTCTTTTTTTTTAAAGAGACAGAGTCTCACTATATTGCCCAGGCTGTACGCAAACTCCTGGCTCAAGTGATCCTCCTGCCTTGGCCTCTTGAGTGGCTGGGGCTATAGAATGGATTTTATTTCACAGGATTAGACTTAAGATGCTTCACCAAAATTATTTTTAAAAATTAAACCTCAAACTAAATGACTTTGTTTGAGCAGTCACCTGAACCTTCTATCTATCTATGTATCTATTTTTACTGTCTGAGCACTCTCAGCTTCCTCAAAAACTTTCATGATATATTTTAGTTTCTGAATAAACCATTAGCTTTAATAACACTAAGTTGCTGATAAGAATGTTTAATCATTAATCTCTAGTGATAGAGGGGGCTGTTAAGATATGCAAAAAATATTTAATTCTTTTGCTTAACCAATATATTTTTCTTGAGCAATAATTTGTAGAACCTAACAGCTCTCAACAGTGACCACCTGATGGGCCGTATGAAAAAGAAAAGCAGTAGCAGCTTCAATGTTCAACACACTGCCAAATGATATTTCTAAGTGTTTACCACGTATGTGCTCTAATTCATTGCTATAGCACTGTTCTGAAGAAATAAAACATGTACCTTAATATTATTAAGGACTCCTGGGTCTCCCCTATGATCTTTCTAATCATTTCATTCCAATTATTTCAAAAGTAAATAAATGACTGCGATTATCCTTATAGGCATTGCTGTTGGATAATATTGTTTGGAATTCTAAAATAATTCTATTAAAGAATTATAAACAATTAAAAATAAAAGTTTTCTTAAATATCATCTAATACAACTCCCTCATAAGTGCCCTTAAATCAGACAGAAAACCATGGGACTGAAAACTCAAAACAAATCATGTCAAATGACTATGAAGTGTCTTTGATGACACACATTATAAAACAATCTTGTTTCTAAAAAATTAAACCTTAAAGCAAATATCACATAAATGTGTGAGATGTACTTTTTTTTTTTTTTTGGCTTATTCTAGTAGTAAGCTCCTTGGCAGGAAGAACCATGTAAATTTTCAACAAAGGCTAATAGATAGGATAACCGTATATCCCAGTTTATGCCTGTTGTACCAACATAATTATTAATGGTGCTTCCTTTCACTCTCAAGTCTCTTGAATTGAACAATAAATTGGATGGCAACCCTATCCCTATAAAGGCAGGAGTTGAATTAACTTTTGTACAGATATGGTTACTATAAAGAAAAAGCAAATACAGCTATAATTAACTATCATGATAATCAAGAGACAACAAATAAACACAAAACAAAATTTAAGATTCTAAATAATTCTAAATTCCAAAGAAGTTTGATTTAATGGACAGTGGACAGAGACCCAGAAATCACTCACAGATTCTAATAGCAACCTGCTTAAGGACTGTAGAAAAGTCTGTATGTCCATGTCAGATGAACAGTGATGTCTAGTTAGTGATACTACCAATGACCTAGGAAAGGCTGATGGAAGACCTTATGACACTGTCTTTAATGTTCCTCTCAGTAGAAACATTTGGTGCAATGCAAGCTGTTTGAATGGTATATAAGTAAAGAAATAGAGGGTTTTTTATAATTATAAAAAAAGGCAATAACAATCTTTGGGATAGAAATAATAAAATGCTAATTTAAGGATTATCTGAGAATCAACTATAGTAGTCCTGCCATATCCGTGGTTTTGCTTTTAGCAGTTTCAGTTACCTGTGGACAACCACGATCTGAAGATATTAAATGGTAAATTCCAGAAATAAACAATTCAGAAGTGTTAAATCAAATCTTTCAGGGCTCAGATTTAGCCTCTGTGACACATTCCTTGATTTTCCCAGGAAATTTTCAATAGTAGACTAACACTACATCACAATGCCTACATCCTTCATCTCCCTTCATCTCATCATGTAGGCATTTTATCATCTCACACCATCGTAAGAAGAATAACAGTGAGTACAGTAAAATAAGATACTCTGAGAGACAGAGATCACACACAACTTTTATTATAGTATTGTTAAAATTGTTCCATTTTATTATTTATTGTTGTTCATCTCTTACTGTGCCTAATTTATAAATTAAACATCATATGTATGTATAGGGAAAGAGCAGCGTATATAGGGTTCAGTACTATCGGAGATTTCAGGCATCCACTGGTGGTCTTGGAATGTATTGTCCATGGATAAGGGGGGACTATTGTATAGTCTACATGTTCTGATATACATTTTATACATATTATTTATAATTATGAGTAAACACAACCATGGCCTTTCTAACATTCTTTTTTATAATTCTCAAATTAATTTCTTTAAGGAAATCAATAGATCCTTGCTGCATGCACTCATGTTTATTCTGTCTATACACATGACACTTCAAATGTCACTGATATTTTGTCATCTCAAGCAGTAATCCCTAAAGCCAGAGGACAAAATGACAGAAAGACAAATGGAAAGTCGTAAGAATTTTACCTAGACAAGTTCCACTGCTCAGCCAGAATGGTACTCCCAATTTGTTTAATGTTTTCGCTGCTAGTTGCAGTAATTCCTTTGCACTCTTCCG
Organism: Homo sapiens; assembly: GCF_000001405.40. Lineage (NCBI taxonomy): Eukaryota > Metazoa > Chordata > Mammalia > Primates > Hominidae > Homo > Homo sapiens. The sequence continues at coordinate 105,615,316 of NC_000009.12, read as the reverse complement.
AAAGGCCACAGCTTCCACAGTGTTATCATCAAGGTACTGCTACAGATATAATAAATAGTCAGCTATTACAGCCATTTCTAAATTGCTAGGAACCTTTCTGTGGCATCTGAATTAAATTTGAAAATTAACCCCAGGCTGGGCACAGTGGCTCACGCCTGTAACCCCAGAACTTTGGGAAGCCAAGGCAGGTGGATCACTTGGGGTCAGGAGTTCAAAACTGGCCTGGCCCACATGGCAAAACCCCATCTCTACTAAAAACATAAAAATTAGCTGAGAGTGGTGGCCCGCGCCTATAGTTCCAGCTACTCGAGAGGTTGAGGCAAGAGAATCACTTGAACCCGGGAGGTGGAGGTTGCAGTAAGCAAAGATCACACCACTATACTCCAGCCTGGGCGACAGAATGAGACTGTCTCAAAAAAGAAAAAAAAAAAAGAAAGAAAGGAGAAAAAAAAGAAAACTAACCCCATATAATCTTTTTATATTATAAAAACCACATTTTACAGTTACTTGTTTGTCCCACATTAAAATGAACACTTAAGAGCAGATTCTTGGAGAGATAAATTAAAAGGGAAAGAATAGAACCAGGATTCCCAAAGGATGAGACATCCTTTTATCAGCTCCCTCCTTTACATCACAATTTAGTAGCTGGACAATCAGGATAAAATAAAGCTAATTATGAGAGCTACAAACATAGCTGAAACAAAAAGAATTTAATAATGTTTTCACCATTCAGTGATTCTATTGGTCTTTAGAGACTGTGTAGTATAGTAGAAAAAGCCTGAGATTTTGAATCAGATTATCAAATCTAGTGCACTTCTTTTTAGCTTTGACCATGTACATATCATCCTCACTTTCTATGAGGAAAGTGCATTCATTTTATCATTATATCTCCAGTGGGTAGAGTAGTGCCTGAGTATTTGCTGAATGAATGAAAGAATGTAATAAACAAATCTCTCTTGTATCTACTTTTCTCATTTGTAGTTTAAAGATAATTATTATACTTCACAGGACTGCTGTGAAGATTGAAGGAGAAAAATGTCTTGCAAATTGTCAGGTCATATATATCATTTAGTCATCTTGGTTTTCTGATTCTCTTCGTTTTTAGAGTGTTCTGGAGCTGAGGAAAGCACTATAAATTCTATAGTGTTGCTTCGCTACCTGTGGGACAAAATCTAAACTTCTTGTCCTGGTGGACATAAACACTGTGTTCTGGTTCCTGACTACTGGGGTCCAGCCTCATCTGCATCTCCTCACACTTCATCTTATAACTTGTAAACCCCCAAATATACCACAATAACTTGTAACTCCTCAAATACACCACAACTTTTCAAGCCTCCGCACTTGTTTCCTTTGTCTGATATGGCCCTGATCAATAAAATCTTTCAAGTCTCAGCTCCAACCTCTGCAAAACATTCCCCAGTTTTCCCAGGAAGACATATGTATTTATTCTTCCAATGTTCCTATTCAGGAAGTGTTTCTATTCAACATTTATAGAGCAAAGAATTATGTTTGGTTCTAGATATACAAAGACAAATGAATTATCTTTTTCCTTAACAAGCTTATAATAGTTACCACTTGTAAATACTTTTACTATAATTCATATCATATTTATTCCTAATCATCAATTTTATATTCCCTCCACTAGACTGTAAAGATAGTTCCCTGAGGGCAAGTACTACATCTCTTCATCACTGTATCTACAGGTTTAGAATGGTGCCTGGCACATAATATCTGAAAAACACATACTGATGAATGGGCAAATGAATAAATGATTGACTAAGCCCCTCCCAGGCCTGCAACATCCTAAAATATCCTGTAATTCTTTTACAATATAGTAGGAAAGAATATAGATCCTGGATGGACTATATGAATCTTAAGCAAAAAGTACCCTACCTTCAGTAAGAAGAATTTCTTGCAGATAAGTCACTGTCTACAGAATATACAAATTACACAGGATCCCTTCAATTTGAATACATCCCTTTCCTCAAAGCCATAAGTGCTCTTACAATAAATGACTGGAATGAGAGATACATGTTATAATGCTTGTTGTAGTAGGAAAAGCCTGGAGTTAAGAGGTGGAGACCTAGGATTTAGTCCATGCTCAACCAATGATGACCATGTAACTGACATCTTGAAACATCAATTTTCTTACCTGTTAAAAGAATCCTTGCCTTATTACACAGAGTGACTGAAAGGACTAAACAGCAAATATGAAAAATTTGTGCTCTACAAAAACATCAGGTCTGATAGTTACCTGCTGCTGGTACTGCTCCCATATGGACATATTCCCACCCCAATCTACTTTTCTTAACATGACACTCTCAGAAATTCCATTTCTTTTTTTTTTTGGAGACAAAGTCTCCTCTCTCTGTTGCCCAGGCTGGAATTTAGGGGCATGATCTTGGCTCACTGCAACCTCCACCTCCTGGGTTCAAGTGATTCTTCTACCTCAGCCTTCCAAGTAGCTGGGATTACAAGTGCACACCACCATGTCCAGCTAATTTTTGTGTGTTTTGTAGAGCCGGGGTTTCGCCATGTTGCCCAGGCTGGTCTCAAACTCCTGAGCTCAGGCAATCCACCCGCCTTGGCCTCCCAAAGTGCTAGGATTACAGGCGTGAGCCATGGCGCCCAGCCAGAAATTCCATTTCTCAGAACTGATCCTTGTATGTGTTAAAGTGCATACATGCATAGAGCTATATACCTTAAACATCTGCTATAAATTTTAAAAATTATAGTATACATACTTTTTTCATTTAAAAATATCCTGTACAAGATAGATTAAAGACTTAAATGTAAAACCCAAAACTATAAAACCCTGGAAGATAACCCAGGCAATACCATTTAGGACACAGGCACAGGCAAAAATTTCATGAAGATGCCAAAAGAAATTGCAACAAAAGCAAAAACTGACAAATAGGATCTAATTAAAATAAAGAGCTTCTGCACAGCAAAAGAAACTATCAACAGAGTAAACATATAACCTATGGAATGGGAGAGCATTTTTGCAAACTATGGTTTGCAAACCTTAACTATTAGGTCTAATATCCAGCATCTATCAGGAACTTAAACAAATTTTCAAGGAAAAAACCAAACAACCCCATTAAAAAGTGGGTGAAGGACACGAACAGACACTTTTCAAAAGACATACATGTGGCCAACAATCATATGAAAAAAGTTCAACATCACTGATCATTAGAAAATGCAATAAAAAACAATACGATACTATCTAATACCAGTCAGAGTGGCTACTATAACAAGTAAAAAAAAACTAATAAAATAAAATAAAATAAAATAAAATAAACCCCAGATATTGGTGAGGTTGTGGAGAAAAAGGAACACTTATACACGGTTGGTGGGAGTGTAAATTAGTTCAACCATTGTGGAAGACAGTGTGGTGATTCCTCAATGACCTAAAGACAGAAATACTGTTTGACCCAGCAATTCCATTATCAGGTATATACTGAAAGGAATATAAATCATTCATTCTCTTATAAAGACACATACATGTGTGTGTTCCCTGCAGCACTATTCACAATAGCAAAGGCATGGAATCAATCTAAATGCTCATCAATGATAGACTGGATAAATAAAATGTAGTATATATACACCATGGAATACTATGCAGCCATAAAAAAGAACAAGATCATGTTCTTTGCAGGGACATGGATGGAGCTGAAGGCCATTATCTTTAGCAAACTAACACAGGAACAGAAAACCTAATACTTCATGTTTTTATAAGTGGGAGCTAAATGATGAGAACACATGGACGCATAGAGGGGAACAACACACAATGGGTTCTTTTGGAGGGTGGGAGGAGAAAGAGGACCAGGAAAAATAACTAATAGGTACTAGGCTTAATACTTGGGTGGTGAAATAATCTGTACAACAAACCCCCACAACACAAGTTTACCTATGTAACAAACTTGCACTTGTACCCCTGAACTTACAAGTTAAAAATAAAATAAATAAGTAAACAAATAAAAATAAATCCCAAGTACAAATCTCAGGATTACTATACCTCTAAAAAAAGACAAAATTAATATCCTACTTTAAATATCATGTTTATTTAATTTTTCCTGTTCAGCCAATGAACGGGGACACAAAGCCCAAGAAGAATCGTGGAATCCAAAAGCACAAACCTTATATCAAAGAATAAGATGACAGAAGGTACCAACTCTTATTGTAGATGAGGAAACCAAGGCTCAGAAATTTGCCCAAAATCTTAGAGCAAATTAGTAGAAATAAAATAAAAATATTGTTATCTAGATATTCCTAGGCCAGGTGTACAGGTATTTCCAACTTTCCTTTTGGTTTTTCACTGATATTCAACAGCCTGGAGCTCATTAATTATCTTGTGATGGTTTTTGCTAAAACAAAATCAAATTCAGGAAAAGGTATATTATTCTAGTTTTTGAACTTCATGGTAGATTGAGAAAATAATTAAAAGTAAATAAAGTCTCCCGCCCTTCCTGAACTATTCGATACTAAAACCATTAGATGGGGCAGAGCAAGAAAGGTTTTTGTGCAAAGGGATTGCCTGATACGGGGTATCAGAGCCTAGGCAGGTAATGAGGACATCCACATGAAGAGAGTAGGAGAGTGTCCAGTGTGGGGAGTCAGAGCCCAAGCAGGGTGAGGAAAGCCTCTCTGCAGAACAGCAGCCAGGTGTGGGAAGTCAGAGCCTGAACAGGGTAAGAAGAATGCCTCTACGTGTGTGCAGCCCAGCAGAGGATAGCAGTGCCCAGGTAGGGTGAGAAGAACAGGGGGTAGGGAGGGGAGGACATGTGTTGGAAGATAGGTTACATACAGGGAGACTGAACAACTAAGTAAACATTAAGGTCAATGGGAGTCAGATTTCTCACGATTTGAAAAGGGAGTCGCAAATATGGAAATGAACTCTGTTGTTTAATTGGAACTTTTAACCGGACTGGAGATGTCAATGTGAATTCAGAGGTTTCAATAGATAGATACAGAAATAAATACACACAGACATATACACCCTACCCCTGTTCACTGAGAGAAACTCTCTGCAGCAAAACCCAAATAGCAATGGGTACACCTGGCATCCAGGTCTTGGCTTCTAAAAGGAAACAGGACTTAAAGAAATGGCTGATCCCAGGGTGGAGGTATGAAAATTGTAAGATGAACCCAGAATATTTTATAGTGCCAAAAAGTACTAAAGTGTTCAAAAAACAACGGAGACAAGTCAAAAGGACACAGAAAGCATTATGAAGGAGTTTCTACTGGCCAAATATGGAACAATCTGAAGATCAAAATAAATAATGAAAATAATTGACTATAACCCATAGGGTAAAATAGGAAACCATGAATTTATTTATATTGATATGAACAAATAAATTGAAAATGTAATGAGGAAAACAATATTTACATAGTTTTAAAGTAACTTCTTGCCAGATGCTTATTATTATAAAGGGAAAAACAGAAACTTCATAGTGGTAAAGATACGAAGTTTCAGACAGCACTTTAATCAGGTGAACAATGTGAATATCAACAGTAATGGGATAAATCAAAATTATGCAGTGCCCAGTGAGATGTAATGAGAACACAGCACCACTTCTATACCTTCTAAAGAAGTATAACCTAAATCTAACATGAGGAACCCCCGGACAAACCCCAAATGAGGGACACTGCACAAAACATCTGGCTTGTAATCTTCCAAAGTATTAGTCATGAAAGTAATAAAAGAACTGAGAAACTGTCCCAGACTGAAGAAGACTAAAGAGACAGGAAAATTAAGACAACATGTGATTCTGAATCGAATCTTTTTATTACAAAGGTTATTATTGGGACAACTGACAAAAATTGAATAGGGATTAAATGGTAAAAATGTATGTGCTAATTTCCTAACTTTCATATTAGGACATGTAGAGAATGTTCCTATTTTTAAAAAAATACTAAATTTTTTGAAGTTGTGGTCAACATCTTACTCCCAAGTGGTTCAGAAAAAAAAAAGTTATCGGTACTGTACTTGCAGCTTTTATGTATTTAAAATTGCTTTTTAAAAATTATTTTAAAAAAAGAAAGGCGGCTGCTTGATGAGGTCTATTAGATTAATTTATTGCTTTACACCAAGCATTACATTTAAGACTGTTTGGCGCCATCAAGTGTTCAAATACATGTATGTTCACTTTAATTTGAAAACTGACCCTACTGGATCTTTTCTTTATGCCAGGTACAGTAGATACTGGGCCAACACAGGTAAATAAAAGAACACTCCTGTTATCAAGAAGTTCATAAAATTTGATAAGAGGACAAGACAGATATTCATAATTCACTGTGATAATTGCTATAATAGAGATGACAACCACAGCAAACTCCCTTAGGACAGGAAGAGCGGTCAAGTTTAAGCACAAAACTCCATCTCTTCTACTTCCTGTTATTATGTGGTAGGCATATGTCAGGCAGCACTTTTCTACTAGAGTAGGCCCATCCACACATGTGGTTTTTCAGCTTTTTATTCATGAGGCTGGCTGCATAAATTTCACAGCTCCACAATGACTTAAGGAAATAGGGCTACGAAGGCCCACTTGGGCTGTCAGGCCTCAGCTTTAGGTGCCAGTACACTGTATTAGAGAAACCTCAGATTTGTGGGTCTTGGGCACTTGACAGTTATATACTTCATTTTCGTATCCCTCGTGGACACAGCTTTCTTGGCAGGGAACCCCAGAAAATAAAGGGCAAGTGAAAGAATTCAGGTACCAAAACCCCACTGTAAATTTGCCTGTTTTCACTGTATCTCTGTGTTTCATGTCATCTCTTAGAGCTGAACTTTCATGCCTTTCAAAATCATCTTTATATCCCCAGGGCCAGAAGCCTGCGGAACACAATAAATGTGTATTGAATTGAAAGCTGCAGCAAGAGAATAAAGTTTTAAAAGCACCTGGTCTTTGTGTAGCATTTATCTTCAAAAACCTTCATAAATGCAAAAAAAATTATATTCAATGCCAACTCTGAAACAAACTGTATTTTCATGAAGTCTTTTCTAAATCTACATGGTCCATCTTCTATAGTGGCTTTATCCTACTTGGACTGAGAATACACCACCTTTCACAAAGTTAATGGGCTATCTTAAGGCAGAAGCCAGTGCTAAATCTATTAAAGTTATTCAAATAAAACAATAAATAAATATCAACCTATTGACTTAGAAAATAGTTTCTTAAGGTTAATTTTTAATCTACTTCTAAAAAAAACTGAAAGAAAACAATCTAGAAGAAAAGAGACATATCAAAAAAGGATGTTTACTTTTCTATTTTCCATAAGCCCCTTCATCTTACCACCCTCAAATATTAAAAATAATCCCAACATTTTCTTTAATTTAAAAGTACACATTTGGTTGTCTCTAACCTGAAAGAATGCTCGAGCTTCTTTATACCTACACTCAATAAACCTAGAGTGTGGTACTTCTTCTACAAAGTGCATTGGATCCTTTGGAATGAGAACTTCCAGTCCATCAACAGTAACTTGCTGTAACTCTGGCCTGAAAACAAAAGTTAAGATTTATTAATGAGGGGTGGGGGAAACAGGGAGGGAGAACATTAGGACAAATACCTAATGCGTGCAGAGCTTAAAACCTAGATAACAGGTTGATAGGTGCAGCAAACTACCATGGCACATGTATACCTATGTAACAAACCTGCACGTTCAGTACATGTGTCCCACTACTTAAAGTAAAATTTAAAAATAATAATAATAATAATAAAAGATTTATTAAAAGGATTTAACCCAGAATACTGGCAGCCTCTTACAAATATCAAACATTAGCAAAATACCTAAACATCAAGCATAGTTTCATCAATTATGTCAGATATCAATTAGCAATTTTAATAAGACCTTGAAAAATCTGACATCAAACAGTTGAGTTTTAATTATTTTGGTTAATGTATTTATATATTAATATATTTGTACTTGTTCATACACACTTGGCATTTTAAGCAGAAACAAAAATTTTGTGACATAATTTTTAATTATCAGTTTACTTTTAGAGAAGTAAATGTTTTTAACACTTAAGACACACAAGTTAATTACAATGGCCTGAGAATCTCATTAATGGGTAAAATGCTAATCTGCAAATCTATCTTATGTATTTTGGATCCCATACTCTAAAAATATTATTTGAGAGTTTTCCATTCCTACTCATATAAAATTTTACAATGTAGAGATAGCTTTTATCTATTGTCACATGTTTATGTTTAATAAGTAACTCACAATTTTGAACTTTACTAAGTTATTAAATTTTGAAATAAATTCACAAAGCTTTAAAAAACTAAAAGATAATGTCTCCCTAAAGAAGGTCATTTGAAATACAGAATAAGAAAAAAACAGGCAAAAAAGTGGTAAGAGAACAGTGAGTATTAAGATTTTTGATTAAAATAAGAGAAGCCAATAATAAAAACAAAGTATTGTTCTCCATCTCTACTCATTTTTTTTGGTCATTTTGAAAATATGGCTTGGTTCAGAAAAGTTCCGACTTTTCATACACAAAAAATATAGAAGACTTCAGTTTCGAATACCTTTTTCAGTCATTCTCAAATATGTGACTTTAAGTACTAATAAGAAGGCAATCTCACATGATTCCAGATAGAGAGAAAACATATATATATAATATATATATATATTTTTAAAAGAAGGCAAGAATAAACATACTCTTACACTTCTCAAGTGTAACAGATAAGAATTATCTCACTGGAAGTTACTAAGAAGGAGTTTTTAATGTGAAAATCCTTACAAATATTTACTGCTACCTTTACATCAGATTCTGCTATTCAAAGTAGACTGTAACATCATTATCGCTGATTTCAAAAGGAGAATAAAAGGAACAATTCTAGGTTAGAAACTTCATACTCCAAGTATAACTTCAAGAATGTTTTTAATCCTGTAATTGTTAATATTATAAACTATAGCTAATCAAATTTTACATGAGTTCCTTCAAATAACTGTTTCTCACAAGAAATATTTTTATTATTGAGATAGCCAAAGATAAATTTTTGCACATGGTTTTAAAAAATATATAGGAAAGTGCATAACATAAAGGCACAAAATAATGAATTATAAAGTAAACACCAAAGTCTCCACCACAGAAATAAAATTCTTCCAGTTTCCCTGTAGTTCTCTGTGTCCTCTATCTAGTCTTTTTTGGTACGTCTTGCTTAGCCTTCTTAATACTTTTACTATAAGGGTATACATCCATGAACATAATTTAGCATGTGTTTGAACTTTTTATAAAAGTAATAATAGAATTTACTTTCACTTTTGTATTTTCAATTTTTGTAGGTACATAGTAGGTGTGTATACTTATGGGTTACATGCAATATTTTGATACAAGCATGCAATGCATAATAATCACATCAGAGTAAATGGGGTATCTATCACCTCAAGCATTTATCCTTTGTATTAAACAATCCAAGTATACTTTTAGTTATTTTAAAATGTACAATTATTTTTTACTATAGTCACCTTGTTGTCCTAGCAAATACTCAGTCTTATTCATTATTTCTAACTATTTTTTTGTACCCATTAACCATCCCCCTCTTCCCCTCTTTCTCCCACTATGCTTCCTAGCCTCTGATAACCATCATTCTACTCTCTATCTCCATGAGTTCAGTTATTTTCATTTTTCACTCCCACAAATAAGTGAGAACATGGAAAGTTTGTCTTTCTGTGCCTGGCTTATTTCACTTAATATAATGATCTCCAGTTCTATCCATGTTGTTGCAAATGACAGGATCTCATTCTTTTTTATGGCTGAATAGTACTCCATTGTGTGTATGTACCACATTTTCTTTTGGCTATATTGTTAGTTATCAACAGTGGTTATATTATTCCTAATATTAACTTAAATACAGTTTCCAAACTTACTGATTTTGAAATGCTGAAGTAATACGGTATTTTAAAGATTAGTTCATAATTTATCTAAATGTTTCTAGAGAGGTTTAATTTCAAAGTGGGAAAATAAATTAGTCTTACCACACAATTTGTTCTTTATATTAAAATAAAGACAGCAAAAATCAATATACTGTCTTATAATCCATATTATTTCTGTTCAAAAAGTTATGGTCTCAGCCTTTAAAGGATAGTTCACTTAAACTTTTTTGGTATGATTATGAAGCTGTGTATACATATATATCATTGTTTATTAATGAATAAAAGAAACTTTTGAATGGAAAAAAATAATAATAATAATAGAATTTAGATTCTTTTGTGCCTTGTGTCATTCAGCATTGTAGGATTCATCCACAATGTGCACAGACCCCTAGTTTATTTTTCCCTGCTGTGTAATACTTCATTGTATGAACACATATATCAAAAATTATTTATTCCTTTACAGTTTTTTTTTTTTTTTTGAGACAAAGTCCTGCTCTGTTGCCCAGCCTAGAGTGTGGTATCACAATCTCGGCTCACTACAACCTCCACCTCCAGGGCTCAAGCAATTCTCCTTCCTCAGCCTCCCCAGTAGCTGGGATTACAGGCACCCACCACAATGCATGGATAATTTTTGTATTTTTTTGTAGAGACGAGGTTTCACCATGTTGGCCAGGCTGGTCTCGAACTCCTGACCTCAGGTGATCTGCCCACCTCGGCCTCCCAAAGTGCTGGGATTACATGCATGAGCCACAGTGCCCAGCCAATCCTTTTATTGTTGAAGGACATTTGGGTGGCTTCTAATTTGGAGTCATTAAGAATAATGTTACTGTAAATACTTATATAAATTATATATTAGATTTCAATACTCAAATGTAAAAACACTGCAAGAATTATGACTGAACAACACTCATTTCACATTTCACGTTTTGACTCTGAACTTACCTGTCAAAAGCTCCTGGATAACGACCAAACTGTAACTTTCGGAAGGGAACAAATTTCCTGTCAATGTGTTCTTTAAGTCTCAAGTGGCCGTGCCAGAGGTAGTTGCCACTCCTCTCATGAAAGACTACCAAGTGGATCGCATGAGTGGCCAGTTTGCAGATATAGTGCAGGGGGATTTCAGTTCCAGAGAGTGAGTCTATCCCGTCTAGCCGGGGATCTTTACTCTCAATCTTTAGGCACTGAAATCCCATATTCTCAGCTATCCGAAACCAGCCTTCCTAGAACCAAAGAAGCATCAAACATCAAGAAACAACACTTAAACATTGAATATTTAAAGCCAAATACTAGTAGCAAAACTAAAGTGATTCTTATATTGAACTTGAGCCATATTTTTGTGCTAATCTGCTCTGTAAGAACATTTTTTAATGAGGGTGATGGGCAGAAGGTAGTGGTGGGAGAATAAAGGAAAGCAGCAAAAATACAAAGTATGTAGCAGGAAAGATATAGCCAAAGACTCTCTTTATAGGTTGGGCACCATAGCTCACCCCTGTAATCCCAGCGCTTTGGGAGGCTGAGGCAGGTGGATCACTTGAGCTCAGGAGTTTGAGACCAGCCTGGGCAACCTGTCTCTACAAAAAATACAAACAAAAATTTGCCAAGGTGTGGTGGCATGTACCTGTAGTCCCAGCTACTTGGGGGTCTGAGCCAGGAGGATCACTTGAACCTGAGAGATCAAGGCTGCAGTGAGCCAAGATTGTGCCACTGCACTCAAGCCTGGGTGACAAAGTGAGACCCTGTCTCAAAAAAAAAAAACAAAAAAAACTCTATGAAAATTAATACAAATCCCTTCCTTGGAATGAGAATGCTCATGTTAGTGTTTTCCAGTTAGTTTCTATAAAGTAAATGTTGATTTAAGGACAGCACTTAAAATTAAACTTGTAATTCTTAATTTAACTTTTAATAACCTTTATCTTCAAAAGTACTTCAAAAAAGTAGTTCTTTCATCTCATAGTTTACATCCCAACATCTTAAAATACTACCATAATAGAACACCATCATAATGCAAATCATTAGAAATTAACAAACATACTGTAAGACAAGGTTCATTTTCCAACATCATTTGTTTCATTATCAACTGTAACATTCCCTTCTTCCCTTTTCTTTCTTGGTACACCTTAGAAGTAGAAAGCACTGACTGAGGGGGAGGGTAGCCAATTCAGAGAAAGACACTACTGAATAGAATAAAAGAAAGGCATTATCAGCTGACAAATTCAGGAAATATTTAAAAGGCCGGCCAGAACTTGAGAAGAACGTGACCTTGGGTTATAGGAGGAAAGACTGACAGACAAAATAGGCAGAATTATGATATGGTTTGCTTTCTTATAACCATCAACAAGAGAAGTAAAGAACAAAATAGTTGCTCTGATCAATTGGTGTAAAGGCCTAGGTCAAGGTTTTGCTAGAAAAGTCCACTCCCAGTAGCCTTGGCAGAGGTTTGCTCACTTTATGGTAATGGCATTAATAAAGAAAAATCACATGCAAATGGAGTCTTTCATTATTAGATCTAACAATCTGATTAGCTCCACATTGGGGGATGTTTTAGGGGGGACTATCCAAGGGCTCTTGAATCTCTTGAATAGTAGGATGTCATATGTACAAAAGGAGAAACTTTTGGGAGGCTGAGGCAGGTGGATCATTTGAGGTCAGGAGTTCAAGACCAGCCTGGCCAATATGGTGAAACCCCGTCCCTACTAAAAAAAAATACAAAAATCAGTCACACGTGGTGGCACACGCCTGTAATCCCAGCTACTCAGGAGGCTGAGGCAGGAGAATCCCTTGAGCCTGGGAGGCGGAGATTGCAGTGAACAGAGATTGCACCACTGCACTCCAGCCTGGGTGACACAGCGAGACTCCGTCTCAAAAAACAAAAACAAAAACAAAAAACCCAACACAAACAAACAAAAACAAACGAAGAATAAACTTGAACCCATGTGCTGATTCTGGGTATGGCTGAGCTTTTGCTTCTTCCTCTTGACTATGGTAGTATCAGTTTTGCCAATGGTGGCATACTCCCCTTCTTCTAAAATAGTGGTTCTCAAGGCAAGTGGGACTGTACCCAACAGATACTTCAGAAATTTGGGGGGATATTTTTGGTTTATCATAATGACAAACTGGCATTTAGAGTCCTAGGCCAAGAACATTAGATATCCTACAATCCAAAATATGAAAATCTATCCTGTGTACTATGTAATTTCAAATGTCCTGTCACATAATCACATAGTGAAAAACTTGTTTATAATTGTCTGAGCTTTTATTTCTCAGGAATACAATAGTCATGTCAATGAAGAGACAATTTTACTTTTTTTGTTGTTGGAAACTTGCTCACTATTTTGGAAAATCATATTGCCAACAACAATATCATTCATAGTATGGGTTTATATTTGTAGCTACCACATTCTGTGATCCTACTTCTAAATACAAGCATCTGAATTACTTTATTATGTCTTCCAGTGTAGTCATTCTGGAGCATCTGCACACAGCAATACATATCATTTCCTTTTATTTCTAGGTTATATTATAGTTAATACATTATATTGATTTGGGGAATTATGTATATAGGAGGGTTATAATTTCTATGAACTTCATTTGGGGAATATAAAGGGACATTATAAAATATTCTTTGTAAAAATAAGCCTTGTAGGCTTTTTCTATGAGATATCAAACAGTTCAACAGAAATGACCTAAAAATACCGATATTGAGAAGTTTCCCCCAGCAAAAAAGCAGAATCTTTCCTCTCATCTTCCTGTTGTGAACATGGATGTGATATGTGGAGCTACGACAGCTATCCTGTGATAATGAGGTAAATGAATAAAGAATTTCAGAGACACAAGTCCTGACATCAGTGGCTAGCTAAACTAATATCAATAGCCACTAACCTTTTAACCTCTCATTATATAAGAAAAAGAAATCCCCTATTTGCCTTAGTGATTAGTTGTATTGTTATTTATAGCTGAAAATATTCCTGATACAATTTATAAAGTGTTTCAGGAAAAATTTTTAATGTTTTACATTTTAAACTAGCCTAAACCTATACTATTTTGTAAAAAGAGACACATTCCATTATCTGAAAGCAAGTCACTTACCTCATTCTTCCATAGGTGATACTGCAGTGCAAATGCAGTAAAGTCTCTTGGAACACAGAAAAACTTGCATTGTGAAGTAGAGCCATGAGAAGTATTTTTGACTTGTTCAAAGTTCTTATTAATCAATTCCAGTATCAAAGGATCAATAAGAAACACTGGTACATTTTGGTTGGATGTTAACATAATAAATTTTTTAACTGCACGCTGTTTGAGAGAAAAAGAATTCTCGTAATTCCAGTAAGCCAACACAACAGTCTATTTTATAACATTTTAATTCATTAATTGTATAAGAATGCAGAGTAGTTACCCAATAGATACCATGCTTATCATTGTGCTAAAAAATACAAATGATTAAATAGCACATATGGTCTCTGCTCTCAATAAGCAGTCTTCTAAGAAAGATGAACATTTTCAATATAAGGTGAAATATGCTACAAGAAAAACATATACAACATATTATAAAAGTACAGACCAGTAAGCTACAAATTTACCATACATCAAAAGGATAAGAAATTTCACAGAGGAAGTGGTATCTGACATGAAAATGTGGTGCTTAAAAAATTATTCTCTTAGTATTAGCTAAATCTTTTCAAGCAAAATTGAGAGAACTATCCGTCAGCTTTTAAAAATCAGTCTTGTTAATCTTTCAAAAACAAAATTCAGTTGTTTGTACCATTTTTCTTCATATCTGTAATGCTGCTTAATAATCTTTCTAAGCAAAAGACTCAGACCAAAATACACTGCCTGCTTGATGACTGCCATATATAATGTGCTTTTCTAATACTGCAATATTTCAAAATATAACTCTGCTGGGTAGTAAGTAGGGTCCCCTACTGAAAAAAACAAAAATTCAACAGTAGAATGAAAATGGACTAAATCACACTTAGGAATAAGTAATATCTAAGAACAGCAAGGATAAACAGAATATCTGGCATACACTATTGCTTAAAAGCCTACTTCAATGAAAGCAAGACTTATAGGAATGTTTGCCTATCAAAAAGGTGCTTCATGAAATTAAGAATAAATTCTTATTCAGAAAATCTGAAGGAACTCATAAAAATATATACAAGATAAATAAATAGACAAAATATCAATTGTAAGGATAAAGGATGAGATAAAGCTAAGAATCAGTCTCATTATTTGTTTTTAGTGTAGAGTATTATGCAAATGCCAAGAATACAATAATCTCTGCCTTATAGGGGTTTATTACCTCAGTGTGAGAAACAGCTAAGTAAAAAGTTAGGATAAACAATGTTACACCAAAAAATTCAACTTAGATGACACAAATTTCTTTAAAAATACAATTTAACAAAACTGCCACAAGATGAAACAAAATCTGAATTGCCCTATACCTATTAAAGAAACTGAATTTGTTAGGAAAAAAAAAAACTGCCCTCAAAACAACAAGGAAAAACTTCAGACTTAGACAGTTCACTGGTGAATTCTATCATTTTTAAGGAAGAATACCAATTCTACAAAAACTTTCTGAGAAAATGGAGCAGGAGAAAATACTTCCTATCTGATTTTAAGAGGCCAGTGCCATACTCAACAGCAAAACTTCTCACGCCTGTAATCCCAGCACTGTGGGAGGTCAAGGCAGGTGGATCACCTGAGGTCAGGAGTTCAGGACCAGCCTGGCCAACATGGTGAAACCCTGTCTCTACTAAAAATACAAAAATTAGCCGGGCGTGGTGGTGTGTGCCTGTAGTCCCAGCAACTCAGGAGGCTGAGGCAGGAGAATCACTTGAACCCGGGAGGTGGAGGTTGCAGTGAGCCGAGATCACAAGGTGGAGGTTGCAGTGAGCCGAGATCACATGGCTGCACTCCAGCCTGGGCGACAGAGAGACTTCATCTCAAAAAAAAAAAAAAAAAAGCAAAACCTGACAAAGACCTTACAAAAAAAAGTATAGTCCACCATCCCTCATGAACACAGATGCAAAAATACTTAATAAAATATTAGAAAATCAATTCCAGTAACTAAAAAAAGATAAAAAAGGAAAGTAAATATCATGACCAAGTAGTATTTATCCTAGGAATGAAAGCTTACTTTAGCATTTGAAAATCAATCAATAAAATTTGACAAATCAACAGAAAAAAGTGAAAAACTATGATAATTTCAATATAGAAAAAAGCATTTGACAAAATTCAGTATCTATTCATGATTTAAAACTTTCAGCAAACCAGGAATAAAATACATCCTCAACTTGATGAAAGGCATGAACAAAAAATCTATTACTGAGTCGTGTGGGAGTTCTTCATATATCTTTGATACCATTCCTTTGTGAGATACATGTTTTACAAATATTTGCTACTCTGTGGCATGCTTATTCATTTTCTTAATAGTGTTTTTTGATGACTAGAAGTTTAAAATTTTAATAGTCCAATTTAGCTATTTTGTGTGTGTGTGTGTGTGTGTCTTTTAGGGTTATTACTTTCTGTGCTTTATACTAGGAAAAAAACAAGAAAGAAATGGTTTTGGAAGAAAGATGAGATAACAGAACTACTACATAAAAGGTACTTTAATGTTTGTTGAATGGATCTCAGGTTGGTGTTAAATACAAATATGATGAACACACTTATAGCTTCATTACCATTATTAATATAAATACAGATTAGGTCAGGGTCAAGCAGAGATTCTATAACTCACCTTCTAAACACATCCTCCAAGTTGTTATCAATACAATCATTAACGCTCCTTGGAAACGTGTCCAGTTGATTCTAAATCCAATTAATTCTAAATCACTATTATCATCTGACCTTCAGTAACTCATTTTGTTTATAAGACTGAAAAACATCTTGTTGAAAAGAGATTATGCTGAGACCATAATAGCCCATTCATCTGCCTGTGTATTAAAATTTTATTAAAACCTAAAAAGTCTTGGCAGGACTTGTTCTTAGTAAAAGCCTAGTTCCTAATTATGATCATTTTCTTTTCTAAGTGCTCCCAAGTCATCTGTTTAATAACTCCATAAACATTGAGCCCTAGAATTTTACCAGGGCTCAATATCACACTATTGATGAGATTTCACCTTTTATTCCTTCTAAAAGTTTAGAAGTATGTTAGTACTTCTCCTTTCCTGTGATTTTGCAAATATAGTCATTCAGTGACCACATTTACAATTTTTTTTAGTCCCCTCAATGTAAAAGAGTATAAAGAGAACTCACTGAATGTGGTAAGCTGCTCTTCAACTTTTTGCTTGCGTACCGTGGAAGTAAAGACTTTGAAAAAAATCCATTATTTTCTCCCACCTCAAGGATCATTTCTTGAATGAAAAGGATAGAGTCACGCTACTTTTTTCTATTATTTTAAGCTTTAAATTTTTCACAAATTCCATTTTAAAATGTATCAGTGAACCTGTACTTTCTCTGACTGCTCTCTCTATTTACTAAAAGGTTTGGGAATGTTGTCAGAATGTTGTTGGTTAATACCGATAAAGGAAAACCTTTTATCCAACTGAAGCTACTACGGCTTTAAATTTTTTGCTGAAATTGCTTTACAGTGTACAGATGAAGACTCCTAATAAATGGCAAATCTGAAAAATATATGTTTCTCTAAGTATCATCACATCTTATAATGTTAAAATGTATGAAAGATCACCCCTGTTGCCTTTGGCTGTTAAAATACTGAATTTTAAATCTCAGCAAATTACTTCAACCACAAGATGATAAATCAGGTCCAAGTATTAGGTGTATGTGTTTCCTAAGGGTGGGATGGAGGTAGAGAAGTGTTACAGAGAAGCATACAAAATACCTCTTTTTAATTTAATCTAAAATCTTTATAACTGTGACTGGGTAGTATAACTTCCAAGTATATCATGCTTACCTTTATCCTCAGAATACCCTAAATTCACAGAGCAAAACAATTGCTATTTTTAATAAATTAAAAGTTTACATTGACACTTATAGACTAGAGAGCTGGGGAGCCTGATAATAGGATATCCCAGACTTTACTTTTAAACAGTAGTTCAAAATCTACTTGGTGTTAGCAATGATCTAAAATGACCACTGCTTGGTGATCTGAAAATCCACTTCTAATTTAAAGTGTTCCACATCTCTAGTTATAGAGAAGCCAAAGATTGAAGTGTATCAAGAAATATCTGGTCATTCCCATAATGTATGCTAACAGAATAAATGTTGTGTTTTATTAGTAACCCAGCAATGTTTTTCTTTCTAAATTTAGTTTTAAAACATAGGAAAATATATTTTATCAATGTGTAGGTTCTGAAATTTCTAAAACAAAACAAGGATATATTGTATATATTGCTGGTTTCCCCTCATCTTATAAAGGAATAGGTTGAATAGATTTTTATTCCTGATCATTACTTTTCCCTTATTCAAATAAATCTGATTCATATATTCATTCATTTAGGGAAACACCATAGCTCAGTGAATGTGGGTTTTAGAGGCAGACAGAATCTGGTCTTACCAAATTATCAGCCAACTAAGTTTAATCTCTCTAAGTGAATTGAGAGTAACAATATTTACTCACTTCTTAAACTTTCTATAGGGACTAAATAAGACATTGCATAAAGCACTTGGTAAAGGGCCTGTCCCTTACCTGCCACTACCAACCGGCCACCCACCACACAAGGTAGCTATTATTATTGCCATCATTCAACAAATACTTACGGAGTAAATGAATGAACTAAATGAACATTATAATTGAGAAATTTCTTGTTTATTCTACATACCCACTGTGTGCTATCAAATCCAATTCGGCTTCCTTTGGATTTTGACAAACCAGCTCCATTCTAGGAAGACAACAAAAGAACTTTTTAGTAAATTCAAAGTCCAGCATGCAACATTACATTTCAGTTAGGCATGAGATTCAAAATATAATTAGCTTATAATCATTAAAAAGCATTATCAAATATCTATTTTTCATATAGTCATGAGCTAAGAATTCTACATTTTTATGATATAAAAATCCAAGATGGAAAACATCGATAGATTTGTAGTAAGTTAATTAAGTTATTAAATAATAAGGTAGACATGGTCAACATCTCTGAACCAATTAATTTCCATCAATGAATGGCAAACTCTTTGGAATTAGGGTTTGTCTGTTAAGGTCTATGTCTATATCTGCAATCTCAACATATTGCCATATATAAAATTAGTGTTTGTAGACTTTGGCAAAGTGATAAAGTATACTAATGTTTATTGAAGAGCTCGTGTGTTTGACACTTCCATATATCAATTATGTATACTCATTGATCCCTCACAACAATCCTGCAAGGTAAACATTATTATTTGTTTTGCAGATAGCACCAGTATGCACGCTTTGCCTAACATACATCGTAATTTTGAATGTTGAAGTTTTTATAAAAGATATTTCAGGTCTAGAGCATCAGAAGAAAATTATTATGAGTTTTCATCTGGTAGCCCCAAAATACTTTAGAGTAAGAGGAGAAAGAATGTCTGATGTTCTAGAGACAAAAGGAAGAATGTTTCAAGCGTAATGAAGATCCAAATAAGTTTCTTATGCCTTGAGTGCATACGTTATCTATAAGCTATAGATGGGAGGATGCTGAAGAACGATTAGAGTAGTCTCACCCTAAAAATGAAATGTGCTCCAAGTTCCTAAACCTCATTTCCCCATTAAACCTCACATTCAAGGGGAGGGACAAAGTCCAATCCATCTTTGTATAACCAGTAGCACCTAGGATAGTGCTTGATGATTTTTATAGCTTAGTAAAGGTTTGTTAATTGGAAGGGGAGAGGAAGGGATGGAGAGATGAAGATACTAAGTAATTAAGACTGAGCCAGAATTGGTCTCTCCTCACAAGCTCTGCAACTTAGCCAATAACATTTTAATACTAAGGGATGTCTGAGAAAAAAACAACTGTAATCTTGAAACCTGAAAAGAGACTGCAAACATTGTAATACAGCTACTTGTTCACCTTAGTCCTACATTAGTTGATTACAAATACAGCTCAGCTATATTTCTGAGCTGTTCAATTTGTTGAGTTTGGGATAAGCAAATTTCTAGTGAGCTAGCATGTTATTTTTATATAGCTTTATTGAGATATAATTCACATACCATAAAATCTGCCTTTCTAAAGTGATTTTTAGTATGTTTAGAGTTGTGCAACTATTACCACTATCTAATTCCAGAATATTTTAATCACTCCAAAAAGAAACTATGTTCCTATTAACAGCCACTCCCCTTTCCTCCTCCACTCAGCCCCAATCATAACACTAATTATCTTCTCTGTGGATTTGCCCATTATGGACACTACATAAAAATGGAATCATATATGTGGCCTTTTACATCTGGTTTTTCACTAAGCATGATGTTTTCAAAGTTCATTCATGCTGTGGCATGTATCAGTACTTCATTTCCTTTTATGGCTAATATTCCATTGTATATTCATTCATTAGTTGATGAACATTTAGGTTATTTCCAGCTTTTGGCTATTATGAAAAATGCAATCGGAAATATTCATGTTTCACAATCATTCTCTTGTATACACTGACAACTTTCCTCCATCTGACTTCATTTTATTTGCTCAGCAAAGGCCAACTTTCTACTTATTCTGCACCTGCAACTGTGCAGCTAATGTGGCTGCTGACTGATATCACTTTATTATTATTACTATTATTAATGAGACAGGGGTCTCTGTTGCCCAGGCTGGAGTGCAGTGGCGTGATCACGGCTCACTGCAGCCTCAACCTCCCAGACTCAAGTGATACTCCTACCTCAGTCTTCCTAGCAGCTGAAACTATAGAGGCATGCACTACCACACCTGGCTAATTTTTGTATTTTTCATAAAGACAGGTTGTCACCATATTGCCTAGGCTGATCTCAAGTGATCCACTTGCTTCCGCCTCCCAAAGTGCTGGGATTCCAGGTGTGAGACACCATATCTGGCTGATGTCAATTTAAATTCATGACTACTAATCCCAAGTGGGGCTTTAATTCTGCCCAGAAATCATACTACATTCCCCTTGTGTATTAACTGTCTCATTCTCCTAGATGACTTTTCCCCCTTTTTTCTAACACCTCCCTATCCTATCTTTCAACTTATGGCATTGCTTTCTATTTCACTGAGAAAAAAGAAATTTGAAAATAATTTTCAAAAACCCCCACCACATCTTCCCACCTACTGTACAAGAATTATATCCATATAATACACCTTCCCTTCTGTCATAACAGATGAATTGTCTATGTTCCTATCTAAGGCCAGCCTCTCCACTTATGCACTAAATCCCATCCCCCCTTGACTGGACAAAGACATTGCTCCAGCAATTTTTCTTTCTCTGATGGATCATTCCCATCAGTATACAAACATGACTATTATTTATTCCATCTTAAAACACTAATAATTAAAACAAAACACAAAAACTTCTCAACTCCTCTTTTCCCAAAGAACAACTTTCTGTCCCCCATTACAGCAAAACTCCTAATGGGTTGTCTCTTCTCATTGCCTCCAATTCCTCTCCTCCCATGAACTCACTTCATTTTAAATTCACTCTGCTGAGCATCATCAAGATCACCAATGACCTGAACATTGCTAAATCCAACGGTCAATTATCAATACTTATCTTATTTGATATACCAAGAATTGTTGACAACCTCTGCCTCACTGAAACACTTCATTCACTTAGCTCTCTGTATCACCATATTTCTGTTTTTTCTCTGTTTCTCTCTGGCTGCTTCTTTAACTTGTCAGTTCTTCCTACTTCCCTGATGTGTTGGAGGGTCCCAAACCTCAGATGTTGGCACTTTCTTTCTCCCCCTTTAAAAATCTATATTCACTTCCTTAGTATCTCATCTAGTCATATGGCTTTAGACACCATCTATATGCTTACAACACTCCATTTGTACTCCCAACCCACTCTACCCAGACTTATATAGCCAATTGTCTATTCACCTTCTTCATTTGAATGTCAAATAGGCACCTGATGTGCTTTGGATCTGTGCCCCACCAAATCTCATACTGAATTGTAATCCCCAGTGTTGGAGGCAGTACCTGGTGGGAGGTGACTGTATCATGTAAACAGTTTCTCGTGACGGATTTAGCACCATCCCTTTGGTGCTGTTCTTGTGATAATGAGTGAGTGAGTTATCCTGAGATCTAACTGTTTAAAAGACTGTAGCACCTCCTCCCTCTCTCTCTTCTTCCTGCTCCAGCCATATGAAGTGCTGGTTCCGCCTTCACCTTCTGCCATGATTCTAAGTTTCCTGAGGCCTCCACAGAAGCCAAGCAGATGCCAGTATCATGCTTCCTGTACAGCCTCTAGAACAATGAGACAATTAAACTTTCCTTTATAAATTACCCAGTCTTAGGTGTTTCTTTATAGCAATTCGAGAACAGACTAACTACAGAAAATTGGTACCAGGAAAGCAGTGTTGCTGTAAGGTGTCTGAAAATGTGGAAGTAACTTTGGAACTGGGTAATAGGCAAAGGGAAAGTTTGGAGGGCTCAGAAGAAGACAGGAAGATGAGGGAAAATTTGAAACTTCCTAGAGACTTGTTGAATGGTTGTGATCAAGATGCTTATAGTGATATGGACAATGAAGCCCAGGCTAAGGAAGTCTCAGATGGAAATCAGGAATGTATTGGGAGGTGAAGCAAAAAGTCACTTTTGTTATGCCTTAGCAAACAACCTGGCTGCATTGTGCCCTGGCCCTAGAGATCTGTGAAACTCTGAACTCGAGAGTGATAGTTTAGGGTACCTGGAAGAAGAAATTTCTTTTTTTCTTTTTTTTGAGACAGAGTTCACTCTTGTTGCCCAAGCTGGATTGCAGTGGTATGATCGTGGCTCACTGCAACCTCTGCTATCCAGTTTCAAGCAATTTTCCTGCCTCAGCCTTCTGAGTAGCTAGGATTACAGGCACCCATCACCACACCCAGCTAATTTTTGTATTTTTAGTAGAGACAGGGTTTCACCATATTGGCCAGGCTGATCTCGAACTCCTGACCTTGTGATCCACCCAACTCGGCCTACCAAAGTGCTGAGATTATAGGCATGAGCCACCATGCCCAACCCAGAAGAAATTTCTAAGCAGCAAAGAGTTCAAGATCTGGCCTGGCTGCTTCTAACAACCTATGCTCATATGTGTGAGCAAAGAAATGACATAAAATTGGAACATATTTAATAGGGAAGCAGGGCATACATGTTTGGAAAATTTGCAGCCTGGCCATGTGATAGAAAAGAAAAGTCTATTTTCAGGGGAGGAATTCAAGCAGGCTGCAGAAATTTGCATTCGCCAAGAAAATGGGGACAAGGCTTTGAAGGCATTTCAAAGACCTTGGAGGTAGCCCCTCCCATCACAGGCCTGGAGACGTAGGAGGGAAGAATAGTTTGGTGGGCTACGCCCAGTGCCTGCCACCCTGAGTAGCCTCAAGACACTGCTCCCTGCATTCCAGCTGCTCTAGTTCCAGCCATGGCTCAAGGGGGCACAGGTATAGCTGAGGCTGCTTCAGAGGGTGCAAGCTGTAAGCAGGTGCACACAGTGCAAGAGTTGAGGCTTAAGAGCCTCTGCCTAGATTTCAGAGGATGTATGGAAAAGCCTGGATGTCCAGGCAGAAGCTTGCTGCTAATGGAGCCCTCATGGAGAACTCTACTAGAATAGTGTGGAAGGGAAATGCAGGGTTGAAGCTCCCACAGAGAGCCCCCACTGGGGCACTGCCTACTGGAGCTGTGAGAAGAGGGCCACAGTCCTCCAGACCCCAAAGTGGTAGATCCACCAGTAACCTGCATGGTACACCAGGAAAAGCTGCAGGCACTCAATGTCAGCCCATGAGAGCAGTTGTGGGGGCTGAACCCTGCAAAGCCACAGGGTCTGAGCTGCCCAAGGCCTTGGGAGCCCACCCCCGTGTGCCCTGGACATGAGACATGGAGTCAAATTTTGGGGTTTTAAGACTTAATGAGTAACCTGCTGGGTTTGGGGCTTGCATGGGGCCTGTAGCCCCTTTCTTTTGGCCAATTTCTCCCTTTTGGAACAGGAGTATTTACCCAATGACTATACCCCCATCGAATCTTGGGAGTAACTAACTAATTTTTTATTTTACAGGCTCATAGGTGGAAGGGGCTTGCCTTGTCTCAGATGAGACTTTGAACTATTGAGTTAATGTTGGAATAAGTTAAGACTTTGAAGGACTGTTGGGAAGGCATGATTGTATTTTGCAATGTGAAAGGATCATGAGGTGTGAGGGGCCAGGGGCAGAATAATATGGTTTAGATCTGTGTCCCCACCAAATCTCATGTCAAATTGTAATCCCCAGTGTTGGAAATGGGGCCTGGTGGGAGGTAATTGGATTGTGGGGACAGTTTGTCATGAATGGTTTAGCACCATCCTCTTGGTGCTATTCTTGTGATAGGGAGTGAGTGAGTTCCCCTAAGATCTGGTTGTTTAAAAGTGTGTAGCATCTCCCCACTCTCTCTTTTCCTCCTGCTCTGGCCATGTGAGGTGCGGGCTCCCCCTTCACCTGCTGCCACGATTGTAAGTTTCCTGAGGCCTCCCCAGAAGTTGAGCAGATGCTAGCATCATGCTTCCTCTACAGCCTGCAGAACCATGAGCCAATTAAACCTCTTTTCTTTATAAATTACCCTGCCTCAGATATTTCTTTACAGCAATGAAAGAACAGATTAACATAGCACCTTAAACTTAACACGTACAAAAAAACTCCTGATTTTCACCATTCCTCAAACTTGCTCTTCCCAGTCTCATCCATCTCAGTAAACAGCAATTTGCCATTGCAATTACTTAGGACAAAAATACTAGAGTTATCCTTGACTCGCTTCTGTCACTCTAATACCCTACATCGAATCCATCAACAAATCCTGAATACTGTACTTTCCATTTCTCACCAACTCTACCATCAACTCTCTTGTCCAAATCATTATCATCTCTTGTGTAAATTACTAGAATAGCCTTCTAACTGGTCTCTCTGTGTATTAGTCCATTTTCACGTTGCTGATAAAGACATACCTGAGACTGGGCAACTTACAAAAGAAGTTTAATGAACTCACAGTTCCAAGTAGCTGGGGAGGCCTCACAATCATGGCAGAAGGTGAAAGGTATATCTTACATGGCAGCAGACAAGAGAAAATCAGAATCAAGCAAAAGGAGAAATCATCAGATCTCCCCTTATAAAATCATCAGCTCTCATGAGACTTATTTGCTACCACAAGAACAGTATGGGGGAAGCCACCCCCATGATTCAATTATCTCCCACCAGGTCCCCCCCCAGCACATGGGAATTATGGGAGCTACAATTAAAGATGAGATTTGGGTGGCAACACAGCCAATCTATTCTCATCAAAGTGGCCAGGCTACTTGTTTTAAAACAATAGTCAGATCATGTCCACATAGCTCAAAACCTTCCTGTTTCCCAGTCTCACTCAGGATAAAAGGTCAAAGTCCTTACAACGGCTTACAAGACCCTAAGTAACAGGAAACTCTAACCTTACCTACTATTCTCCCCATCACTCATTTGTCTACAGCCACATTGATCTCTATGCTGTTCTCAAAACTGACAGACATATTCCTGCCGCAGGACTTTTGTATTTTCTTTGTTTTCTACCTAGTATGCTTCACTGTAGACATCAAAATACTCATTCCCTTTGAACAGGCTGTGTCTTCTATTTGTAATGACCTTTCTATCCTTCTTCACCTGAAGAACTCC
This sequence comes from Homo sapiens, assembly GCF_000001405.40. Lineage (NCBI taxonomy): Eukaryota > Metazoa > Chordata > Mammalia > Primates > Hominidae > Homo > Homo sapiens. Next base: position 105,589,713 of record NC_000009.12, on the reverse strand, counting down.
TCATCCTACAACACCAACTCAAATTATTATTTCATCCATGAAATATTCATTAATAGCCTTCCCAAGTATGTTATTCAGTAGTCTCTCTTCCCTGTAAACCTTATACTTACCTAAGCTTGAAGGGTCAAGGTTAAGGACATTGGAGGGTCCAGTTTTATAGGGCCTGAAGATTATACCATTTTGTTAGTACCCGCCCCCCCCAGTTTTTTTTTGAGATGGAGTCTCATTCTGTCACCCAGGCTGGAGTGCACTGGCGTGATTTTGGCTCACTGCAACCTCCGCCTCCTGGGTTCAAGCGATTCTCGTGCCTCAGCTTCCTGAATAGCTGGGATTACAGGCAGGCATATGCCACAACACCCAGCTAATTTTGGTATTTGGGGTAGAGACAGGGTTTCACCATGTTAGCCAGGCTGGTCTCGAACTCCTGACCTCAGGTGATCCACCCACCTCGGCCTCCAAAAATGCTGGGATTACAAGCATAAGCCACTGTGCCCAGCCGTCGGCCCTTCTTCAGAAAGAATGTAAAAATAACTTTTGCAAATGTTACAAAAATAAATAGCTTTGTAAACAGATTCCTAAGGCCTCTGCAAGTCCCCTGCAAGTGAGGGGCCCTGAAGTTTAAATTTCATTATCTTAACGTTTAATCCGTCTCTGGAGAGCAAGAGTTATTGGCACTCAGTGGCAGCTACAGTGGCTGCAACTGTAGCTATACAGGAAGATGCAGTCACTGTCAACCAATGACCCTACAAGTAGAGAACCAAGAGAATAAATAATCTGACCTCTCTTTCTTTCCAGTTTGCAATCTCCAGCCGTATCCCATTGGCTAAACCCAACAGGAAACCAAAGGGCAAGGGAGCTCAGCTAATATAATCCATAAAGGTCTGCCTCCCCAAGAACAGAGTATGGTAAAGAGAGAATTTGGAGAGCAAACAGTATATCCAGCATGCTATGCTAAGAAGTTTGGTTCTTATTCCATAGGTATACTATGCAGAGAATAACTTGGATCAGATCTGCATCTAAGAAAAATATCTCTGACAACAGTACAGAAGAAAGATTACAAAGGCTAGATACTAGAGAACAGAAAAGTTATGAAGTGTGCTTTGAAAAAAGAGGTAACATGTATTGTTATTGTTTGCTTATATGTCTCTTTATGTTTCTTAACCTCTCTCCCCTTCATCCCCCAAATTTCCCAATTTGTGAGTTCCTAGACATAAGGATTGAACTTCACTGATCATTTGTTTCATAGCCTATTACTGTGCTTGGCACACAGTAAGCTTTCAACAAATACTTGACAAATGAATGGCAGAATGTTCTGAAAGAAATGCCATGTAAAGTCAACTGGTTAAAAAAAAATATTCTGACACACTGCCTATGGGATATTTGGAGTAAAAATTTACGGGAAATGAATAAATGAGTAAACAGATGGAATCAGATGCCAACAACAACTGGTAGGAAAAGTCTGGTAGCAACTGAACTCTAGTGATAACTGGGTCAAATAAAGATATATTATCAAAGAAAAAGCATCCAGAAAGTAGGAGGTGAAGATTTAAGAAAAAATTCTATCATTTTTGAAATGCAGTATCCAACAGTGTTTCTTATAGAAACCCTCAAACCAAATTCCTAATTCAGCATGATCATTAATTATGCTCATATAGAATCAAACAGTAGTACTTTCAGAAAAAATTAAGTCTTCAATAACTGTCTTTTTCAATTGCTTATAAGCTTGCAAACCTAAGGATCAGAAACACTGACCATTGCCAATTCCACAACCCTCCAGATAGCCTTCCACTTCTGCCTCTCAGTGTTTCTCTTTCCAGTAGAAACATTTCTCTTATATTTACTCCCAAGCCACTGCAGTTCTTAGATTTATTAGTGAATCACTCATAAATGTGACCTTAAATGGTAGAAAAGCTGTGATTCTTAATAATCAAAACTGGCCAGAAAACCTACAAACCTACACAGCCTAATGTTTGAGAATAAATGAAAAAATGGAAAGACTATAAAAACACCCTTCAATTCTAATGAAAGAAATTATATCACATTTCTCCTGGATAATAGCAGGAGTGAGAGGGTGATAGAAGAAGTGGGGCAGTAGTATTTATTAAAGTTTACCACATTGGATCAAGCTATCAAATATAATATTCTTCCTCCAGAAATGACCTATATGTTATCCTTGAAGGCAAAATGGAAGAAGCCCAAAAGTGAAAAAAGATAAAGGGAAAATCATATTTCTTGCATAATTTTAGCAAGTAACTAACCAACTAAAAATATTCAAAAGCCTTTGTTGCACATGATCTAAATGGCTACAAGACTGATTTCCATTTCTAATAATGGCATATAAAATTGCTCACTGTGAATGACTACTGCCAAACTTGAAATCCAAACTCCCCTTTCAACTCCCTCCTCCCTCCTTCTAACCAAACATACATAGGCTACTAAATAGAATGCAAAATAAGATATCTCAGCACCCAATTCTATAAGTGGGCTCCTAGATAATACAAACAGCTGATTACTGCAGGCACTGGTGCTGCTCATTGGACTAAGTCAAGAACAATAAAAAGGCTTGGATCACTCAGTGCCTAATACAAACATAGTTCATTGGCTTTGTCTTCCCTCCACATAGGCATCAATATTTGACGATTTTCTGTTGTGCTACGGCATTCCTTAAAGCCATCTCATTTCATATCTTATCACTCATTTCTTTTGAACAAATTTATATTTACATGTTGGAATAGCTGTATGAATAAATACAAGTTTTAGGACCTGATTGGCAATCTTGAACTTAAGAAACTTAACATATCTGGACCCCAGTTAACTTGGTTTATGAAAAAGTAAAAAATATAAGCTTATAGGGACACTATAAGAATTTAATACAATTTTACTTGTCAAACTGCAATGTAAACCTTAAAAGTACTAGAAAATGTAAGCTACTGATAGTTATCATCTACCATGTATCAGACACTAAGTGAGACATATCACATACATTATCTCAACCAGCAATGTTGCCATTAGACCCATTTAAAGAAACTGGTGCTCAAAGTGACTTGCTGAAAGCCAAACAATTGCATGAGGACTATGTAGTGCCCAAACTCAAAAATTATTGATGCTGCCATGTCTATCAAATTATGAGTTTCATGAGTAGGGCCTGTGTTCTATTTATCTCTGTATTCCTAAGTACACTGTGTAAGACGAGTGATCAATAAATACGGATTAAATGAACACACACAATTATCATACTATCCTGTTGGTTGCATAAAAACAGTGAACAATGAAAATTCTCTTCAGGGTCCTAGAAACATGTCCTTTCCATTCTGGTGTGAGCTGCAAGCCAACTACTTGAAAGTTGGCGCCCACAGACAATGCTCACAAGGACACTACACTAAAGGAGTTTGTATATCCAAGACCTGAAGGGTTGTTCTGGAATCTGAAGAGTCAATTCTACCCGTCTATGAAATTTTAGTAGACCCAATAAATATAATATACTAGTTCTTTATCTTCAATGCTAACATGATAACTGGATTATTCAGATCCCATTTGGAGGATCATAGAAAAGCTAGGCTTGTCTAACCAGCTAGGACCAAGAGTAGTTCTGTGCTAAGGCCCTCAAAATGGTCAAAAGTAAGTCTCCTTAAACTCCAAGGTAGCCAGTACTAGAGTGTTCTTTCCTGAAAAGCCTGAAAGCTTTGCAGTCCTTCTTACCATGGTGCTGCAGGCATTTACTGCTACTAAATTTGGGTTGGAATAAAAGATAAAATCAATTTTTCATCCCTATCTCTAACACATAATCTCAAGGGTCTCTGAAAATTACCTTGAAGTTCAAGGATGACTTAGAATCTTGGTTTTTATGTTGATGACGCTAACCTATAATTTCACACTGATCAAGACTATGATTCCATACTCTTTGGCTACCAAATCAAACATTTAATTGAACTATAAGTAATTTTTACATGAATTTATTTATCTAAGCATATCCCACAAAACACTGCTCATTGAACAACAGAGGAATGCAATTCAGATGTAATCGGTAAACAAAGTTAACAATAGTTCAGGTTCTCTTCCTATGTCAGAAGAAAACCATTAGAAAACTGAGGATGCATCTATACTTCACTAAACTTTGAGTTCAAAAACGCTGCGTGTAAGTGAGATTTATAAGTTTAACAAAAACCCAAAAGCTTCAAAATTTTCCACAATGACACTGAAATAAATTTAAAAGTTGGTATCTTTAGCATCTAATTAGTCTAACTATCCTTACTATTTTTATTTTACATATGTACATATTTATTTATTTATTTTTTGAGACAGGGTCTCCCTCTCTTGTCCATCCTGGAGTGCAGATCTTAGCTCACTGTAAACTCAAACTCCTGGGCTCAGAGGGATTCTCTCACCTCAGTGTCCCAAGTAGCTAGGACTACAGGCGTGCACCACCACAACCAGCTAATTTTCTTATTTTTAGCAGAGATGAGATCTTACTATGTTGCCCAGGCTGGTCTTGAATTCCTGGGCTCAAGCGATCCTCTCGCCTAAGCCTCCCAAAGTGCTGGGATTACAGGCAGGCACCTGGTCTCCTTACTATTTTTAAATAAAGCATTTTTTTTTCCTACTGGCATAGAGAAACTGCTTGTATTCCTTACAGACAGTATCCTGTTTTCACACTATAACATACAGGAAGCATCTATACTCTCATCAGCATCTGTCCCAAATTAAATTATAAATATTGGGCAGGAAGAAACCACCTCATTGTTTCTATTGCCTTGGCAAAATACTCTACAAATTGTGACTTTTAAATAACAGTTTCTGAACTCATGAGTAAATTTAAAAATTCCATTTTAAAGGATACAATTACTGGGCTACAAACGGTTTAATATAATTTCCATATGTTAAAAAAAAAAAATTTTAAGACACGATCTCCCCGTCACCCAGGCTGGAGTGCAGTGGCGCAATGACAGCTCACTGCAGCCTTGAATCTCCCAAGCTCAAGTGATCCTCTCACCTCAGCCTCTTGAATAGCTGGGACTACAGGCACACGCCACCATGCTGGGCTAATATTTGTATTTTTTGTAGAAATGGGGTTTTGCCATGGTGCCATGGCTGGTTTCAAACTCTTGGGCTCAAGCAATCTGCACACCTCAGTGTCCCCAAATTCTGGGACTACAGGTGTGAGCCACTGCACCCACTCCATATATTTCAATAAAATAAAAATAATCTGTGATATTTTAGAACTTAGATGTTATAATGTCTACCTATTATCAAAAGTAAACATAAAAAACAAGAATCTAGTATGAATAATGAACTTTACAAAATTAATGGTATATAAAGGTTACCTGAACTTTAATTACATACCACTTCTGTTCAAAGATTATATTTTCTTTAATGAATAAGGCATTATTACTAAGGCAGTTTGTATGGTATGGACACAATACAACAAATACTATTTTTCATTATAAAATTAAAAAATAATAATAATAGCCAATTTTTACTGGTTTCTTTCTGTATAACATGCATTGTTCCAAATAGTTTATGTATATCAATTCATTTAAGCTTCACAAGTCTATGAGGTGGTACTGTTATTGCCTCCCATTTTGTAGATAAGGAAACAAAGGCATTTAGAAGTCAAGTAATTAACTCAAGATCCCACAGCTAATAAGCAGTATAGATGAGGTTTAATCTCAAACTGATGTTCATGCTCTCAACAACTATGTTACACTGCCACCAAGGGAAAAGGGTTGAGACAGCAGTTCTTTATTAGAATTTAATATATAATTAAGATGGGATTTTTAAAGTAATGGGTAATTCAATAAGGGATATTGGGACAATTGGTTAATCATTGTGGAAAAATGTAAGTTAGATGTCTAATTCATACCTCATACTAAAATAAATTCATTTTAGTGAAAAAATTTAAACATTAAATAGACAAAAATACAGTTAAATATTCCCATAATCTTGGGCTACTTATAACATAAAAAACAGATGCCCTAAGGAAAACAGATTTTGACATCTGTCTATTTATACATTAAGTACTAATTTATTGAGGGAGTACATCATGAATATAAAGTTAAAAGGCAAATTACAAGTCAGGAAAAATATTTGAAATATATATGATGAAGGTTTAATATTCTTCAAACTATAAAGAACAGCTACAGAAAAAGACAACATCATCAGGAACATATATGAAAGACACAAATAAGAAGAAGTAAGAATACAACTAAAAAGAACCAATATACATATGGAAAGATGTTTAACCCCACTAGTAATCAAAGAAACGACCTCTAATGGAGTTGAATAGCTTTCAGTTTCTGAATATTACGAACACTAAAAATTAATGAATGAGGTTTTGGGGTAGACTCCTCAGGTTCATCTCCCCCACTTAATAACTATGTGATATTGGGAAAATTAGTAAGTCTCTCAAAACCTCAATGTTTTTGCTGGAAAAACAGGAAGAACAAGATCTACTCAACTTGTTTTAAGAATTAAATGTTGGTAAAGTGCTTCGCATAGGGCCTGCTCAATCAAGCACATCAAAAAATGTTAGCTGCTATGGCAGGCACTATAGGTAAGCTGACCTGACACCCATTCCCAAACCCCTTCTCTTTTGCAATCTCTATTATAGAGGCTAGAAAAGCTAAATAACAATAGTAAAACCTTACTTCCCCAGATTCTCTTATATTTGGGAATCTGCTGGCCACTGTCACAAAACTAGAAGCCTGCTAGATCACACTATTATTCCTTCTAGCCTTGACTGTAACACAGGAAATACCAAGAGAATTTTAGAGGCTCTAGACTTATAGATATGGACAGATAATTCCTCTATTTGTTTAAGCTACTATTAGCCAGCCATCTCTAACTGAAACAGATGCCATTATTATTGTTATTCCTATTTATGAAAAGATATGAGAAATCAGGTATACTGCTTATCCTTATGAAGGATAACTTTGTAATATATAACAAAAATCTAAAATGTGCATATTAGATCTAGAATTTCTACTCTAGGACTTTATCCTAAGAAAATAATGAGGAAAGGGTTGAAGATGTCACAGAAAGACATTCATTGGATAAACAGCCAAGATCAAAAGTAGAATCAGTATAGTCTGTTATTTTTAAAATTATATAGCCTGGAAAAAATGGAGCTAGGGACATTAGAGGTCAGCTATACACATTAGATATTGGGTGGTTTGTATGGGTAAATTATTTCACATCTCTGTTAACAATTTTGGTTTTCCAGGCCAGTTGCAGTAGCCCATACTTGTAATCCCAGCACTTTGGGAGCCTGAGGTGACAGAACTGCCTGAGGCCAGGAGTTCAAGACCAGCCTGGGCAACACAGCGAGACCCCGTCTCTACAAAAAATTTTTTTTAATTAGTCAGGCGTGATGGCATGTGCCTGTAGTCCTCCTAACAACTCAGGAGATTGAGGCAGGAGTACTGCTTGAGCCCCAGATTCAAGGTTACAGTGAGCTATGATTATGCCACTGTACTTCAGCCTGGGTGACGAAGCGAGATCCTCTCTTAAAAAAAGAAAAGTTTCGGGTAGGAGCCAAGATGGCCGAATAGGAACAGCTCCGGTCTACAGCTCCCAGCATGAGCGACGCAGAAGACGGGTGATTTCTGCATTTCCATCTGAGGTACCGGGTTCATCTCACTAGGGAGTGCCAGACAGTGGGCGCAGGCTAGTGGGTGCGCGCACCGTGCGCGAGCCGAAGCAGGGCGAGGCATTGCCTCACCTGGGAAGCGCAAGGTGTCAGGGAGTTCCCTTTCTGAGTCAAAGAAAGGGGTGACGGACACACCTGGAAAATCGGGTCACTCCCACCCGAATATTGCGCTTTTCAGACCGGCTTAAAAAACAGTGCACCACGAGACTATATCCCACACCTGGCTCGGAGGGTCCTACGCCCACGGAATCTCGCTGATTGCTAGCCCAGCAGTCTGAGATCAAACTGCAAGGCGGCAGCGAGGCTGGGGGAGGGGCGCCCGCCATTGCCCAGGCTTGCTTAGGTAAACAAAGCAGCCGGGAAGCTCGAACTGCATGGAGCCCACCACAGTTCAAGGAGGCCTGCCTGCCTCTGTAGGCTCCACCTCTGGGGGCAGGGCACAGACAAACAAAAAGACAGCAGTAACCTCTGCAGACTTCAATGTCCCTGTCTGACAGCTTTGAAGAGAGCAGTGGTTCTCCCAGCACGCAGCTGGAGATCTGAGAACCGGCAGACTGCCTCCTCAAGTGGGTCCCTGACCCCTGACCCCCGAGCAGCCTAACTGGGAGGCACCCCGCAGCAGGGGCACACTGACACCTCACAAGGCAGGGTACTCCAACAGACCTGCAGCTGAGGGTCCTGTCTGTTAGAAGGAAAACTAACAAACAGAAAGGACATCCACACCGAAAACCCATCTGTACATCACCATCATCAAAGACCAAAAGTAGATAAAACCACAAAGATGGGGAAAAAACAGAACAGAAAAACTGGAAACTCTAAAACGCAGAGCGCCTCTCCTCCTACAAAGGAACGCAGTTCCTCACCAGCAACGGAACAAAGCTGGATGGAGAATGACTTTGACGAGCTGAGAGAAGAAGGCTTCAGACGATCAAATTACTCTGAGCTACGGGAGGACATTCAAACCAAAGGCAAAGAAGTTAAAAACTTTGAAAAAAATTGAGAAGAATGTATAACTAGAATAACCAATACAGAGAAGTACTTAAAGGAGCTGATGGAGCTGAAAACCAAGGCTCGAGAACTACGTGAAGAATGCAGAAGCCTCAGGAGCCGATGCGATCAACTGGAAGAAAGGGTATCAGCAATGGAAGATGAAATGAATGAAATGAAGCGAGAAGGGAAGTTTAGAGAAAAAAGAATAAAAAGAAATGAGCAAAGCCTCCAAGAAATATGGGACTATGTGAAAAGACCAAATCTACGTCTGATTGGTGTACCTGAAAGTGATGGGGAGAATGGAACCAAGTTGGAAAACACTCTGCAGGATATTATCCAGGAGAACTTCCCCAATCTAGCAAGGCAGGCCAACGTTCAGATTCAGGAAATACAGAGAACGCCACAAAGATACTCCTCGAGAAGAGCAACTCCAAGACACATAATTGTCAGATTCACCAAAGTTGAAATGAAGGAAAAAATGTTAAGGGCAGCCAGAGAGAAAGGTCGGGTTACCCTCAAAGGGAAGCCCATCAGACTAACAGCGGATCTCTTGGCAGAAACCCTACAAGCCAGAAGAGAGTGGGGGCCAATATTCAACATTCTTAAAGAAAAGAATTTTCAACCCAGAATTTCATATCCAGCCAAACTAAGCTTCATAAGTGAAGGAGAAATTAAATACTTTACAGACAAGCAAATGCTGAGAGATTTTGTCACCACCAGGCCTGCCCTAAAAGAGCTCCTGAAGGAAGCACTAAACATGGAAAGGAACAACCGGTACCAGCTGCTGCAAAATCATGCCAAAATGTAAAGACCGTCGAGACTAGGAAGAAACTGCGTCAACTAACGAGGAAAATCAGCAGCTAACATCATAATGACAGGATCAAATTCACACATAACAATATTAACTTTAAATGTAAATGGACTAAATTCTCCAATTAAAAGACACAGACTGGCAAATTGGATAAAGAGTCAAGACCCACCAGTATGCTGTATTCAGGAAACCCATCTCACGTGCAGAGACACACATAGGCTCAAAATAAAAGGATGGAGGAAGATCTACCAAGCAAATGGAAAACAAAAAAAGGCAGGGGTTGCAATCCTAGTTTCTGATAAAACAGACTTTAAACCAACAAAGATCAAAAGAGACAAAGAAGGCCATTACATAATGGTAAAGGGATCAATTCAACAAGAAGAGCTAACTAGCCTAAATATATATGCACCCAATACAGGAGCACCCAGATTCATAAAGCAAGTCCTGTGTGACCTACAAAGAGACTTAGACTCCCACACATTAATAATGGGAGACTTTAACACCCCACTGTCAACATTAGACAGATCAACGAGACAGAAAGTCAACAAGGATACCCAGGAATTGAACTCAGCTCTGCACCAAGCGGACCTAATAGACATCTACAGAACTCTCCACCCCAAATCAACAGAATATACATTTTTTTCAGCACCACACCACACCTATTCCAAAATTGACCACATACTTGGAAGTAAAGCTCTCCTCAGCAAATGTAAAAGAACACAAATTATAACAAACTATCTCTCAGACCACAGTGCAATCAAACTAGAACTCAGGATTAAGAAACTCACTCAAAGCCGCTCAACTACATGGAAACTGAACAACCTGCTCCTGAATGACTACTGGGTACATAACGAAATGAAGGCAGAAATAAAGATGTTCTTTGAAACCAACGAGAACAAAGACACGACATACCAGAATCTCTGGGACATGTTTAAAGCAATGTGTAGAGGGAAATTTATAGCACTAAATGCCCACAAGAGAAAGCAGGAAAGATCTAAAATTGACACCCTAACATCACAATTAAGAGAACTAGAGAAGCAAGAGCAAACACATTCAAAAGCTAACAGAAGGCAAGAAATAACTAAGATCAGAGCAGAACTGCAGGAGATACAGACACAAAAAACCATTCAAAAAATCAATGAATCCAGGAGCTGGTTTTTTGAAAAGGTCAACAAAATTGATAGACCACTAGCAAGACTAATAAAGAAGAAAAGAGAGAAGAATGAAATAGACGCAATAAAAAACGATAAAGGGGATATCACCACCGATCCCACTGAAATACAAACTACCATCAGAGAATAAACACCTCTACACAAATAAACTAGAAAATCTAGAAGAAATGGATAAATTCCTTGACACATACACTCTCCCAAGACTAAACCAGGAAGAAGTTGAATCTCTGAATAGACCAATAACAGGCTCTGAAATTGAGGCAATAATTAATAGCTTACCAACCAAAAAAAGTCCAGGACCAGATGGATTCACAGCCGAATTCTACCAGAGGTACAAGGAGGAGCTGGTACCATTCCTTCTGAAACTATTCCAATCAATAGAAAAAGAGGGAATCCTCCCTAACTCATTTTATGAGGCCAGCATCATTCTGATACCAAAGCCGGGCAGAGACTCAACAAAAAAAGAGAATTTTAGACCAATATTCTTGATGAACATTGATGCAAAAATCCTCAATAAAATACTGGCAAACCGAATCCAGCAGCACATCAAAAAGCTTATCCACCATGATCAAGTGGGCTTCATCCCTGGGATGCAAGGCTGGTTCAATATACGCAAATCAATAAATGTAATCCAGCATATAAACAGAGCCAAAGACAAAAACCACATGATTATCTCAATAGATGCAGAAAAAGCCTTTGACAAAATTCAACAACCCTTCATGCTAAAAACTCTCAATAAATTAGGTATTGATGGGACGTATTTCAAAATGATAAGAGCTATCTATGACAAACCCACAGCCAATATCATACTGAATGGGCAAAAACTGGAAGCATTCCCTTTGAAAACTGGCACAAGACAGGGATGTCCTCTCTCACCACTCCTATTCAACATAGTGTTGGAAGTTCTGGCCAGGGCAATTAGGCAGGAGAAGGAAATAAAGGGTATTCAATTAGGAAAAGAGGAAGTCAAACTGTCCCTGTTTGCAGACGACATGATTGTATATCTAGAAAACCCCATTGTCTCAGCCTAAAATCTCCTTAAGCTGATAAGCAACTTCAGCAAAGTCTCAAGATACAAAATCAATGTGCAAAAATCACAAGCATTCTTATACACCAACAACACACAAACAGAGAGCCAAATCATAAGTGAACTCCTATTCATAATTGCTTCAAAGAGAATAAAATACCTAGGAATCCAACTTACAAGGGATGTGAAGGACCTCTTCAAGGAGAACTACAAACCACTGCTCAAGGAAATAAAAGAGGATACAAACAAATGGAAGAACATTCCATGCTCATGGGTAGGAAGAATCAATATTGTGAAAATGGCCATACTGCCCAAGGTAATTTACAGATTCAATGCCATCCCCATCAAGCTACCAATGACTTTCTTCACAGAATTCGAAAAAACTACTTTAAAGTTCATAGGGAACCAAAAAAGAGCCCGCATCGCCAAGTCAATCCTAAGCCAAAAGAACAAAGCTGGAGGCATCACGCTACCTGACTTCAAACTATACTACAAGGCTACAGTAACCAAAACAGCATGGTACTGGTACCAAAACAGAGATATAGATCAATGGAACAGAACAGAGCCCTCAGAAATAATGCCGCATACCTACAACTATCTGATCTTTGACAAACCTGAGAAAAACAAGAAATGGGGAAAGGATTCCCTATTTAATAAATGGTGCTGGGAAAACTGGCTAGCCATATGTAGAAAGCTGAAACTGGATCCCTTCCTTACACCTTATACAAAAATCAATTCAAGATGGATTAAAGATTTAAACGTTAGACCTAAAACCATAAAAACCCTAGAAGAAAACCTAGGCATTACCATTCAGGACATAGGCATGGGCAAGGACTTCATGTCCAAAACACCAAAAGCAATAGCAACAAAAGACAAAATTGACAAATGGGATCTAATTAAAATAAAGAGCTTCTGCACAGCAAAAGAAACTACCATCAGAGTGAACAGGCAACCTACAAAATGGGAGAAAATTTTTGCAACCTACTCATCTGACAAAGGGCTAATATCCAGAATCTACAATGAACTCAAACAAATTTACAAGAAAAAAACAAACCACCCCATCAAAAAGTGGGCGAAGGACATGAACAGACACTTCTCAAAAGAAGACATTTATGCAGCCAAAAGACACATGAAAAAATGCTCATCATCACTGGCCATCAGAGAAATGCAAATCAAAACCACAATGAGATACCATCTCACACCAGTTAGAATGGCAATCATTAAAAAGTCAGGAAACAACAGGTGCTGGAGAGGATGTGGAGAAACAGGAACACTTTTACACTGTTGGTGGGACTGTAAACTAGTTCAACCATTGTGGAAGTCAGTGTGGCGATTCCTCAGGGATCTAGAACTAGAAATACCATTTGACCCAGCCATCCCATTACTGGGTATATACCCAAATGACTATAAATCATGCTGCTATAAAGACACATGCACACGTATGTTTATTGCGGCATTATTCACAATAGCAAAGACTTGGAACCAACCCAAATGTCCAACAATGATAGACTGGATTAAGAAAATGTGGCACATATACACCATGGAATACTATGCAGCCATAAAAAATGATGAGTTCACGTCCTTTGTAGGGACATGGATGAAATTGGAAATCATCATTCTCAGTAAACTATCGTAAGAACAAAAAACCAAACACCGCATATTCTCACTCATAGGTGGGAAATGAACAATGAGATCACATGGACACAGGAAGGGGAATATCACACTCTGGGGACTGTTGTGGGGTGGTGGGAGTGGGGAGGGATAGCATTGGGAGATATACCTAATGCTAGATGACGAGTTAGTGGGTGCAGCACACCAGCACGGCAAATGTATACATATGTAACTAACCTGCACAATGTGCAAATGTACCCTAAAACTTAAAGTATAATAAAAAAAATAAATTAATTAAAAAAAAAAAAAAAAGAAAAGTTTCAGTTTTCTTATCTGTCAAAATTAGGTCTAATAACTCCATGTAACAATGCTGCATAATAAACTTCCCCCAGTCTTATGGCTTATAAGCATCTATTTCCTCCCTCACAAATCTGTGAGTCAGCTGGGCAGCTATGCTTTGGTCTGCTCCATACATTTTTCTCTTCTCCTATAGGTCAGGGGAGCATAAAAACTAAGTCAAATCACAACAGCCTATTCAAAGCTTCTGCACATGTCTGTTAACATTCTACTGGTCAAGCCCAACATAAAAAAGGCAGGGAAGTATACTCCATTCTAGTTGAGGAGGGGCGCAAAGTGATTAATTCTGATGAATAGTTCTAATTAAGACATGAGGATAAAAACATAAAAACAAAAAAAATTTTTTTTCTTCCCCATGATTGTTTTTAGGACTAAACTGAGCATGGAAAGCATCTAGTACAATTATCAGTGATGGTAGTAATTATTATAATACACCCCAGAGGGAGTGTTTGGCAACTTTTCACAATGTAACAACACCATCTCAACTTTGGAATTCCTTATCTGGTATATTCTACGGAATCTTCAGAAGCTATTGATTTCCACATCATTGTCTCTACTTTATTCCTATACATACAGATAAAGGTAAGTCATACCATTATACTTCCCCAGTAGGTACTAAATTAAAATATATGCTGTACTAAAATAAACTAATTTTGACATTTTATCAAAATTATTTATCATTGAGTTCATTTAAATGAAGGATAATCTGTTTAACAAAATAATAATTTTTAAATAACTAGCTCAGGAAATTCCAATAGATTAAACATCCTTGAAACTTAGCACCTGTCTTTAGTGTGCTATTACAAGTATATTTAACTGAATTTTTAATTGTTTGCCACACCTCGCAAAGATGCAAGAATTTGAATACCCATGATTAATATTATGTATTGCAAAGAGAAGTGTGATCAGAAAATATACAATGATAAGAAAGGAGGAATGATAAGAAAGAAGGAATAAAATTACCTTTGTTGATAAATAGTGCTTGTAGTAGTACAACTGAAACAGCAGAAATGCAGAACTTGTCAGCGTTAAAAGGGCCAAAACCACGTTCTTATTGATTCTACTCATTAGTCTGTGCTGCTCACTTGGTTGTCTTTTGAAAGTATCTCAGTCGTTTTCATCTTTTTGGATTTGGAAAGGAAGATAATTTTGTTTTCTGTGAACAAAAAAGATATTTTTAAAGAAACAAAAACCTCTTTAATTTTGTACCTGTAATAACCAACAATAGAACAAAGAAAAAATTAAATTTCCACAGGCATTCTTTGATCTGGTCATTGTCTATGCTAAAGAAATAATCAAATATGAGACCAATGATGAAAAAACAAAAATGTTTATTATCACTTTTTTTTATAACTGTAAATAACTGAAAACATAAATAGGATATTTATAAAAACTGACCAACAAGGTTGAGAGGTGCTTTTCTCCTCCAGTTTCTGATTCAGTAAATCCGGTATGAGACCTCAGAATTTTCATTTCTGACAAGTTCCCAAATGATGCTGGTGCTGCTGACAATGCTGAGAACCACTTCCAAAGGAGAAACTGAGACCGTTTTTAGTCAAGGAACATGGCCTGTAAGACAGCTCTTTGTTGCTTTTCAAGTTTGTGTGTGATCTAGGATGTGGTCAGTTTTTATTTATACTCCATGTATGTTTTCAGTTTTTTCAACTGTAAAGAATGCCACAATAAACATTTTGTTCTTTCATCTTAGGTCTCATCTCTGATTATTCCTTTAGGATAAGAAATTTAATACAGTTCTACTTCTTCCTACCTTGTCTCCACTGTTTGATTTTGGTTAAACACATTTAGTTCTTCAAATGCTTACATTTATTCCTTCAATCCTTCAAATATACTGACACCTCTCTTATGCTTGATATCTAAGGTTTATATGTCTTTTGTTCTCCAGCTATAAAATAAGAAGAAACCAACAAATTTATACTACATTCTGTCTTCTCTCCTCTTTCAATCTTGACTTTTATTAATTATTTCTACATGTTACAGTTCTATTGTATTCTATAACTACAAATCTCATAGTTATTTTGGTCTTATTCCTACAATGTTCCCTGCCAATCCATTTGCTATATCATCTCTGTTCATCTACTGTATGACTGATATTCATCTTCTTGCAGTTTATCAAAAAGAACTTAGGGGTACCACTTACCTTGAGCTTTTGCCTTGTTCAAAAATAGTTGTCAATTTGGCTTTGAGGTTACACTGTCTTTCCCCAATGACTTACACACTTTGTACCATTGTCCTGTAGTGCTAAATATTCCCTTGACAATATCTGATTTCCCAAACCAACTCCTGATAGGTAATTTAATCTTTTTATTGGGATGAGCAAAGAATGCATTCCTTACCTTTGAAATCCAATTTTTTTAAAAACTAGGTTATACAAGGATGTTGATGACCGTATGTTAGTTTTTCCTCATTCAGTGTGTTTCCTTTCAATCTGTAGAATAAAGATTTTTTTTTTTTTGAGACAGGGTCTCACTTTGTCGTCCAGGCTGAAGTATAATGGTGCAATCATAGCTCATTGTAACCCGAAACTCCCACACTTAAGTGATCTTCCTATCTCAGCCTCCTGAGTAGCCATGAGTAAAAGTATGTGCCACCATGCCCAGCTAATTTTTTAAAAATTTATTTGTAAAGACAGGGTCTTGCTATGTTGCCCAAGCTGGTCTTAAACTCCCAGCCTCAAGAGAACCTCCTGCCTTAGCCTCCCAAAGTGCTGGAATTACAGGTGTGAGCTACTACTGAGCCTGACCTAAAGATGTCTTTTCTTTGCAGAAGGTTTTCTTAAATATTTTTTCTGTTATAACATTGAATTCTCTATTTTCAGAACTACAATTAAGCATTTTTTTTTTTGAGACAGAGTCTCCCTCTGTCACTCAGGCTGGATGGAGTGCAGTGGCACGATCTCAGTTCACTGCAACCTTCACCTCCTGGGTTCAAGCAATTCTCCTATCTCAGCCTCCCGAGTAACTGGGATTACAGGTGCCTGCCACCACACTCGGCTAATTTTTGTATATTTAGTTTAGACGGGGTTTTTCTGTGGTGGTCAGGCTGGTCACGAACTCCTCACCTCAAGCAACCCACCTGCCTCAGCCTCCCAAAGTGCTGGGATTACAGGCATGAGCCACGGCACCCAGTCCTCATCTACTTTTCTAAACGGGAATATAATTTACGCCTTAACTATGGAAGAAAGAAATAAGGGTGTATTCTAGACTAGAGGGTAGTCTCTGGTATACAAGAAAACTCTTTCTGACAGAGTATTTTGTACATGTGTATATGTGAGAAAGGCAGAGAATGTGTATGAGAACAAGTGGGAAAAGCATTTAAACATTACTTCTTCCAGATGTCAGAGACAGGCAGCAAAGGGCCACTCACTATCTCTCCTCTACTTTGCCTCAGCAAGAGAGTGCTTCCTGCAAAGATGGGGTATCTGTGCACTTCCTCATTCACTCTTCCTTTCTTGCTAGTTCATGTTGCCAAACAATCCAAGGAAATTCCCATTGCCTTTCTATGCATCCTGATCCCACTGCAAACAGAAGAGGACTCTTTGCTCTGCCAGCTCTATCTGAGATCTCTTTCTACCAGCATTCTCTTTTAACCTCTTCCTGCTTACATGTGGCTGCCATTTCTCAAATATTTCAGTTTGGAGTTACAGGTCTTCTAGTCTCAGCAAAGATGTAATTACATCTCTTTCTCTCAGTTTCCTTGTTGTTTCATGGTAATTTCAGATAGAATAGGGCACAAATGTCTTTACCATCTTAAAATCAAGTCTTGGTTTGGGGTTTTAAAACAATCCAAATGAGCTGCCAGAGCTGATGACTATATAAAGCAAACACTAAAATATATATATATATATATATACAGTCTCAAGAAACTACTTAAGAGAAATAATACCAATAGTGATGTGAACAATTCACCTGATCAGTAATGTATATTAAGCAAAGATAACCTAATAAATCATAATTATTTTGTATCTCCCAAAACTGTGAAAACAATATCAATCAACATTGATGATGGTATTAGTTTTTGTATTCAGTTAAAACCCATGGAAATACAATTATCAAATAGAGGTTTAGTATCCCTTATCCAAAATGCTTGGGACCAAAAGTATTTTGGACTTCTTAGGATTCCAGAATATTTGGATTACACTTACCAGTTGAACATCCCTAATCCAAAATTCTGAAATGCTCCAATGAACATTCCTTTCAGCATCATATTAGCACGCAAAAGTTGCAGATTTTGGAGCATTTCAGATTTTGAATTTTCAGATTTGGGATGCTCAACCTATACTCTGATGAGGGCAGCTCACAAGATTAACAAGGAGACTGCCCTTCATTTTCAAGATTTCAACTCAAGTTCTTGTACTTGTATTAAACAGTGCATTAATGTATTCTATGCTGATTCCTAGTGAAATCTAAAGTGGCACTCAGAGTAGGCCATAACTCAGCTTCTTCTAAGCCCAAATTAATAAATGGGAAAGAACACATAATAGGCCTGCCTATATAAGCTACTACAGGCATAAAATCTAAATTAATATCTTGTTCTTTCTTCTCTAGTTTACAACTAATTCTTATAAAATAAACCTCCAAACCATAATATCAAAAACTTAATTACATTTTTATTATCAAGATGATATCCAATTAACTTCATTATTTATTTTCTATAAATGCCAAGGCAATTCAGTCACAAAAGAGAAAGATTCGCCTATCAAAATGTTCCTTTTCACTAGCACTACCGCTTCATTAGGAATATTCAGTAACCACTTAAAAATGAATAATGTGACACTGAAAAAAAGAAGCCATAGTATGTTGATTTTACCTTTAAAATACCTCTTGCATCAATTCCTTCCTTCTTCACTGTCATTCTAAACTCTAATTGTACCTAATGTCCTAATTTTAACTGATGTCCCTGTCTCCACTTTCTCTGTATCCACAATCTTACCTATACACTGACAGATGTATCAAGTTGCTGACAGATAAATCAAGTTACACCACAATCAAAACTTTTCAATAGTTCCCTACCACCTACAAATAGTTCAAATTACATATAATGGTATAAAGGGGTATTCACAATCTGACTGAATACAGGCAAATTTACTATAAGCTTTCTCACACTTCACATAGTCTATGGTTTTTGCATGAGTATTCCTGGAATACATCCTACACTTTCCTGCCTCTGTGTTTTTGCCCATTACCTCTTGTCTGCAATGTTCTCATTTACTTCCATAAAACCAGTTTACTTTCTTTTCATAGCTCCTCTCAAATGACACTTCTTCAAGGAAGTCTTCAATATTCTTCCAGGTTAGAAGTGCTCCCTCCACCTCCAACCTAGTTTTACCTTCCTGCAACAAATAAACAGTTACTGTCTACCTTAATGGGCACAGATGCCAAAAAAAAATGCTAAGCACTAGAGATAAAATGACAAATAAGATACACTTCCCTAATTTTGAAGGGCTTAAAGGTGAGTACAGGAGTTTTCAAAAGAAGAAGGGCAGTAGTGATAGTGGTGGAGAGAGTGATGTACCTGAAAAAGAATATGAGAAGATGTTTTCCAAAATGCGCAAGCCCCATTCCTTACCACCCCCACATCAATTAAGAACCACTGTTCTAGTTTATGATGGACTCTATCAGAGATAAATATAGAGGCAATAACAATACAGTATAGTTGCAATGAAGGAATAAGCACGGGTTACTATGGAAGCACAAGGAGAGGCAACTAACCTTGAGGCTTTTACTAGTTTCTATTTTGCATTATAACTGTTAGTGTACATGAATCATCTTCCCCACCAGCCTAAAATTGGCTGAATTAACATCAAGTAATAGTAAGTATGCTAAGTATACTAAAAATACACTGCACAATGCTCAAGAAAACAGAAAACTATTTAAATAAAACTTTTCTGTTCTGCAGGAACTTTTACAATAAAACAGAATTTGAAATATAAAAAAAAAAGATTTTTAAAAGAGTTTAAAGCCCCTTAAACTCACATATCTGGTTCCAACCTTCAAAAAATAAACGTTTAAAAATATAAAAAATAACCTATAGAGAGATATGGCATAGAACTAAAACAAAAATATTGTTTCTATATACACTTCTTTTTATATGTTACATTTTAGCTATCATAATAAAAACACTAGGGAGGATAGCATTCATTTCCTTACTTACACTTAGGTAAAGTTTCCTAAAGAAGACAGCATATCATCTCTAATGGAAAAGAAAAGAAAAAGTATTGCAGAGATAGTAAATTAAAATGAGGCAGTGGTTGGGAGAGAAATGACAAATGTTTTCAGGGAAAAAAAAGATGTAACGAGGGGAGTTACGAAGTTTAAGTAGCCCAATAATCTTAAAGTTCTAATGCAAATATGAGAAGATTAATATATAATTATGGTATATTGCGACACAGAATTATTCTTAGATGAAGTGGAAGCAGGGCATAACTAGTGCATGAACTGAGATCTGGCAATGAAGAAGAAAGAAATGGGCAGATCTGCTTACCAACTAAATCATGAATGGGTTATAGGTGTCAGAGTTAACAATCCTCTCAGTCTTTGGGGCAGCTAGACCCCAAGAGTAGGTCATCTCCAGCCAAGAACACATTCTTTTATGTTTCCTTTCATCTTTTCTTGGTCAAATTTACTATGTGTCAAGATGTGAAAAGGCTTGGAAAAAAACTAGTAGTAGATAAAACCCATACACAACTGTGATGAAAAAAGGTACAGGATTTGGAGTTCAAGATAATTCTCAGGCTCTTTCTACAGTGAAGAGCAGCACTGCATATTCTTTTTTATTTACTTATTTTTTTTATTATTATATTTTAAGCTCTAGGGTACATGTGCACAACATGCAGGTTTGTTACATATGTATACATGTGCCATGTTGGTGTGCTGTACCCATTAACTCATCATTTACATTAGGTATATCTACCAATGCTACGCCTCCCCCTTGCTCCCATCCCACAACAGGCCCCGGTGTGTGATGTCCCCCTTCCTGTGACCAAGTGTTCTCATTGTTCAGTTCCCACCTATGAGTGAGAACATGCGATGTTTGGTTTTCTGTCCTTGAGATAGTTTGCTGAGAATGATGGTTTCCAGCTTCATCCATGTCCCTACAAAGGACATGAACTCATCCTTTTTTATGGCTGCATAATATTTCATGGTGTATATGTGCCACATTTTCTTAATCCGGTCTATCACTGATGGACATCTGGGTTGGTTCCAGGTCTTTGCTATTGTGAATAGTGCCACAATAAACATACATGTGCATGTGTCTTTATAGCAGCATGACTTATAATCCTTTGGGTATATACCCAGTAATGGGATCACTGGGTCAAATGGTATTTCTAGTTCTAGATCCCAGAGGAATCGCCACACTGTCTTCCACAATGGTTGAACCAGTTTACTGTCCCACCAACAGTGTAAAAGTGTTCCTATTTCTCCACATCCTCTCCAGCACCTGTTGTTTCCTGACTTTTTAATGATCGCCATTCTAACTGGTGTGAGATGGTATCTTATCATGGTTTTGATTTGCATTTCTCTGATGGCCAGTGATGATGAGCATTTTTTCATGTGTCTGTTGGCTGCATAAATGTCTTCTTTTGAGAAGTGTCTGTTCATATCCTTTGCCCACTTGTTGATGGGGTTGTTTTTTTCTTGTAAATTTGTTTGAGTTCTTTGTAGATTCTGGGTATTAGCCCTTTGTCAGATGAGTAGATTGCAAAAATTTTCTCCCATTCTGTAGGTTGCCTGTTCACTCTGATGGTAGTTTCTTTTGCTATGCAGAAGCTCTTCAGTTTAATTAGCTCCCTTTTGTCAATTTTGTCTTTTGTTGCCATTGCTTTTGGTGTTTCAGACATGAAGTCCTTGCCCATGCCTATGTCCTGAATGGTATTGCCTTGGTTTTCTTCTAGGGTTTTTATGGTTTTAGGTCTAACATTTAAGTCTTTAATCCATCTTGAATTAATTTTTGTATAAGGTGTAAGGAAGGGATCCAGTTTCAGCTTTCTACATATGGCTAGCCAGTTTTCCCAGCACCATTTGTTAAATAGGGAATCCTTTCCCCATTTCTTGTTTTTATCAGTTTTGTCAAAGATCAGATAGTTGTAGATGTGTGGTATTACTTCTGAGGGCTCCGTTCTGTTCCATTGTTCTATATCTCTGTTTTGGTACCAGTACCATGCTGTTTTGGTTACTGTAGCCTTGTAGTATAGTTTGAAGTCAGGTAGCGTGATGCCTCCAGCTTTGTTCTTTTAGCTTAGGATTGACTTGGCAAGGCGGGCTCTTTTTTGCTTCCATATGAACTCTAAAGTAGTTTTTTCCAATTCTGTGAAGAAAGTCATTGGTAGCTTGATGGGGATGGCACTGAATCTATAAATTACCTTGGGCAGTATGGCCATTTTCAAGATATCGATTCTTCCTATCCATGAGCATAGAATGTTCTTCCATTTGTTTGTGTCCTCTTTTATTTCGTTGAGCAGTGGTTTGTACTTCTCCTTAAAGAGGTCCTTCACATCCCTTGTAAGTTGGATTCCTAGGTATTTTATTCTCTTTGAAGCAATTGTGAATGGGAGTTCACTCATGATTTGGCTCTCTGTTATTTGGTGTATAAGAATGCTTGTGATTTTTGCACATTGATTTTGTATCCTGAGACTTTGCTGAAGTTGCTTATCAGCTTAAGGAGATTTTGGGCTGAGACAATGGGGTTTTCTAGATATACAATCATGTCATCTGCAAACAGGGACAATTTGACTTCCTCTTTTCCTAACTAAATATCTTTTATTTCTTTCTCCTGCCTGATTGCCCTGGCCAGAACCTCCAACACCATGCTGAATAGGAGTGGTGAGAGAGGGCATCCCTGTCTTGTGCCAGTTTTCAAAGGGAATGCTTCCAGTTTTTGCCCATTCAGTATGATATTGGCTGTGGGTTTGTCATAAACGGCTCTTATTATTTTGAGATACGTCCCATCAATACCTAATTTATTGAGACTTTTTAGCATGAAGAGTTGTTGAATTTTGTCAAAGGCCTTTTCTGCATCTATTGAGATAATCTTATGTGGCTTTTGTTGTTGGTTCTGTTTATATGTTGGATTACATTTACTGATTTATGTATGTTGAACCAGCCTTGCATCCTGGGGATGAAGCCCACTTGATCATGGTGGATAAGCTTTTTGATGTGCTTCTGGACTCGGTTTGCCAGTATTTTATTGAGGATTTTTGCATCGATGTTCATCAGGGATATTGATCTAAAATTCTCTTTTTTTGTTATGTCTCTGCCAGGCTTTGGTATCAGGATGATGCTGGCCTCATAAAATGAGTTAGGGAGGATTCCCTCTTTTTCTGTTGATTGGAATAATTTCAGAAGGAATGGTACCAGCTCCTCCTTGTACCTCTGGTAGAATTCGGCTGTGAATCCATCTGGTCCTGGACTTTTTTTGGTTGGTAAGCTATTAATTATTGCCTCAATTTCAGAGCCTGTTATTGGTCTATTCAGAGATTCAACTTCTTCCTGGTTTAGTCTTGGGAGAGTGTGTGTGTCAAGGAATTTATCCATTTCTTCTAGATTTTCTAGTTTATTTGTGTAGAGGTGTTTATTCTCTGATGGTAGTTTGTATTTCGGTGGGATCGGTGGTGATATCCCCTTTATCGTTTTTTATTGCGTCTATTTCATTCTTCTCTCTTTTCTTCTTTATTAGTCTTGCTAGTGGTCTATCAATTTTGTTGACCTTTTCAAAAAACCAGCTCCTGAATTCATTGATTTTTTGAAGGGTTTTTTGTGTCTGTATCTCCTGCAGTTCCGCTCTGATCTTAGTTATTTCTTGCCTTCTGTTAGCTTTTGAATGTGTTTGCTCTTGCTTCTCTAGTTCTTTTAATTGTGATGTTAGGGTGTCAATTTTAGATCTTTCCTGCTTTCTCTTGTGGGCATTTAGTGCTATAAATTTCCCTCTACACATTGCTTTAAACATGTCCCAGAGATTCTGGTATGTTGTGTCTTTGTTCTCCTTGGTTTCAAAGCACATCTTTATTTCTGCCTTCATTTTGTTATGTACCCAGTAGTCATTCAGGAGCAGGTTGTTCAGTTTCCATGTATTTGAGCGGTTTTGAGTGAGTTTCTTAATCCTGAGTTCTAGTTTGATTGCACTGTGGTCTGAGAGACAGTTTGTTATAATTTCTGTTCTTTTGCATTTGCTGAGGAGTGCTTTACTTCCATATATGTGGTCAACTTTGGAGTAAGTGTGGTGTGGTGCTGAGAAGAATGTATATTCTGTTGATTTGGGGTGGAGAGTTCTATAGATGTCTATTAGGTCCACTTGCTGCAGAGTTGAGTTCAATTCCTGGATATCCTTGTTAACTTTCTGTCTCGTTGATCTGTCTAATGTTGACAGTAGGGTGTTAAAGTCTCCCATTATTATTGTATGGGAGTCTAAGTCTCTTTGTAGGTCACACAGGACTTGCTTTATGAATCTGGGTGCTCCTGTATTGGGTGCATATATATTTAAGACAGTTAGCTCTTCTTGTTGAATTGATCCCTTTACCATTATGTAATGGCCTTCTTTGTCTCTTTTGATCTTTGTTGGTTTAAAGTCTGTTTTATCAGAGACTAGGATTGCAACCCCTACCTTTTTTTGTTTTCCATTTGCTTGGTAGATCTTCCTCCATCCCTTTATTTTGAGCCTATGTGTGTCTTTGCATGTGAGATGGGTTTCCTGAATACAGCACACTGGTGGGTCTTGACTCTTTATCCAATTTGCCAGTCTGTGTCTTTTACTTGGGGCATTTAGCCCATTTACATTTAAGGTTAACATTGTTATGTGTGAATTTGATCCTGTCATTATGATGTTAGCTGCTGATTTTCCTCGTTAGTTGATGCAGTTTCTGCCTAGCATCCATGGTCTTTAGAATCTGGCATGTTTTTGCAGAGGCTGGTATCGGCTGTTCCTTTCCATGTTTAGTGCTCCCTTCAGGAGCTCTTTTAGGGCAGGCCTGGTGGTGACAAAATCTCTCAGCATTTGCTTGTCTGTAAAGGATTTTATTTCTCCTTCACTTATGAAGCTTAGTTTGGCTGGATATGAAATTCTGGGTTGAAGATTCTTTTCTTTAAGAATGTTGAATATTGGCCCACACTCTCTTCTGGCTTGTAGAGTTCCTGCCGAGAGATCAGCTGTTAGTCTGATGGGCTTCCCTTTGTGGGTAACCCGACCTTTCTCTCTGGCTGCCCTTAACATTTTTTCCTTCATTTCAACTTTGGTGAATCTGACAATTACGTGTTTTGGAGTTGCTCTTCTCGAGGAGTATCTTTGTGGCATTCTCTGTACTTCCTGAATTTGAATGTTGGCCTGCCTTGCTAGGTTGGGGAAGTTCTCCTGGATAATATCCTGCAAAGTACTTTCCAACTTGGTTCCATTCTCCCTGTCACTTTCAGGTACACCAATCGGACGCAGATTTGGTCTTTTCACATAGTCCCATATTTCTTGGAGGCTTTGTTCATTTCGGTTTATTCTTTTTTCTCTAAACTTCTCTTCTGGCTTCATTTCATTCATTTGATCTTCCATCACTGATACCCTTTCTTCCAGTTGATCAAATCGGCTACTGAAGCTTGTGCATTCTTCATGTAGTTCTCGTGCTATGGTTTTCAGCTCCATCAGGTCCTTTAAGGACTTCTCTGCATTGGTTATTCTAGTTAGCCATTCGTCTAATCTTTTTTCAAGGTTTTTAACTTCTTTGTGTTGGGTTTGAACTTCCTCCTTTAGCTCGGAGAAGTTTGATCGTCTGAAGCCTTCTTCTCTCAACTTGTCGAAGTCATTCTCCATCCAGCTTTGTTCCATTGCTGGTGAGGAGCTGCGTTCCTTTGGAGGAGGAGAGGTGCTCTGATTTTTAGAATTTTCAGTTTTTCTGCTCTGTTTTTTCCCCATCTTTGTGGTTTTATCTACTTTTGGTCTTTGATGATGTTGATGTACAAATGGGTTTTGATGTGGATGTCCTTTCTGTTTGTTAGTTTTCCTTCTAACAGTCAGGACCCTCAGATGCAGGTCTGTTGGAGTTTGCTGGAGGTCCACTCCAGATCCTGTTTGCCTGGGTATCAGCAGAGGCTGCAGAACAGCGAATATTGCTGAACAGCAAATGTTGCTGCCTGATCGTTCCTCTGGAAGTTTCGTCTCAGAGGGGTACCCGGCTGTGTGAGGTGTCAGTCTGCCCCTACTGTGGGGTGCCTCCCAGTTAGGCTACTTGAGGGTCAGGGACCCACTTGAGGAGGCAGTCTGTCCGTTCTCAGATCTCAAGCTCCATGCTGGGAGAACCACTACTCTCTTCCAAGCTGTCAGACAGGAACATTTAAGTCTGCAGAGGTTTCTGCTGCCTTTTGTTTGGCTATGCCCTGCCCCCAGAGGTGAAGTCTACAGAGGCAGGCAGGCCTCCTTGAGCTGTGGTGGGCTCCACCCAGTTCGAGCTTCCCGGCCCCTCTGTTTATCTACTCAAGCCTCAGCAATGGCGGGTGCCCCCCCCCCCAGCCTCGCTGCCACGTTGCAGTTCAATCTCAGACTGCTGTGCTACAAATGAGTGAGGCTCCGTGGGCATAGGACCCTCCGAGCCAGGCGTGGGATATAATCTCCTGGTGTGCTGTTTGCTAAGACTGTCGGAAAAGCACAGTATTAGGGTGGGAGTGACCCGATTTTCCAGGTGCCATTTGTCCCCCCTTCCCTTGGCTAGGAAAGGGAATTCCCTGACCCCTTGCACTTCCCGGGTGAGGTGATGCCTTGCCCTGCTTCGGCTCACGCTCGGTGCGCTGCACCCACTGTCCTGCACCCACTGTCCGATAATCCCCAGTGAGATGAACTCAGTATCTCAGTTAGAAATGCAGAAATCACCCGTCTTCTGCGTCGCTCACGCTGGGAGCTGTAGACTGGAGCTGTTCCTATTCGGCCATCTTGGAACCCCACTGCATATTCTTTCAGCTTCCTTTTTACATTTGCATTTGTCCTTTGAAGGTATTAGTATGAAAGACTTTTGGTAACTGGTTTACCCTGACACCTCCTCCAGCCCCAGACCCCACTCTTTTGAGAATCACCTAGGTAGGGGTCTGTTTGAATGAATGAATGAATGAATGATATATCAAGAGAGATGATCCAGAAGGCAGGAGTGGGGGGAAGTGGAATCAAAAACCTTCCCTGACACCTAACTTAGGTTCATAAGATGATATGTGAGAGCCTAGCCATATCCTTATGCTGTGGGATCCCCGACTTATTTGGGGATATTGGGGAGTAAGAGTGAGGCATAGATAGTATGAATCAGAGAGTGAAACTGCCTTTGCAAAATTATGACAGCTAAGAGAAATCTCATAGTTGATTCCATCTTGTTTCTGACCTCCAATCTGTCCTTGGTCATTTCTGGGTGCAGGCCAAGCTAACTTTGAAAGGAATTTAGTTTACAGTTTAACCTAAAGCAAGGATGATAGTAACCTTTTCCAAAACTAAACTGCCTTTATAAAGGTAATGAAAGACTACAAGATTAGGATTATGAGAGGGACCTGAATTCTGGTAACATGTAGTTAAATGATAACCAGTCTTTTTTCCAGAGGACACAGGATTTATATTTTCCCTGGCTACAGAACCTAAGATTGGTCTTTTGAGATATTTTTCAGACCTTTGCATTCTGGACCAACTGACACTACCTAGAGGTGAACTAGTGACTCATGACCCAACCAGTCACGTGGCTCCCCACCCAGAGGTGGACTCAGCACACAAGGACCATTTTTCACACCCTTATCATCACATCCCCAGCCAACCAGCAGCCCTCATTCCCTAGTCCCCTGCCACCAAACTAAAAACTATCCTTGAAAAACTAACCACCAAGTCTTTGGCGAGACTGATTTGAGTAATAACTCCTTTGCACAGCCAGCATCATTGTTAAGTAAGCTGTTTCTTTACTGCAGTAGCACAGTCTCAGTGAACTGGTTTCGTTTGTGCAGCGCACAGGAAGAATCCTTCAGGCAATTCATTAAAACAGAACTGACATTCAAATATGCTCTGAACAAAATAAAACAGGAGGCTGAACTACAGAGGAAAGAGAGTAGTGTAATTAGGAAAAGGTATAGTTAGAGAGATGATGTAGCAGATTGGCAGGCATAAAGAGAAAATGCGTCTGAAAATGAATTCAGAGGTCAGACCAAAAAAAAAAAAAAATCGACATTTTTCAGCTGTTCTCAAAAGCCAAAAATATCCCAGTAGCAACAGCTACTATCAAATCTTCCCTAAATACTGTTGGTCTTTCTTATTGTCCATTTCTTTTCCTTTGACTGCTAACTTTTCACAACTGTCAGCAGCTTGGAAGTAAACATTAGACTGCAAAGGGTTAAGAAGTTTCTTTACCTGCTTACCATTCATGCACTTAATCCTTTGCAATATAACTTCTACCTACACATGCTGTTACTTGAAGATAAAAAGCTAATGAAATTTAGTTTCTCCAGTAGATGCTCCAGAAAAATCATAAATACATAGTTACTCCTTTCTGAATGACTATGGTGTAAGAGGGTTTTGGAAAGATAGTGGCTGAAATGAAAGATATAGATAAGACAGGTTAGCAGGAAGGAAGGTGAAGACAGCAAGGATTGTCTTTGGGTTGGGAGGAGTGTAGGTGCTTTTATTTTTTTTCCTTATTTATCTTACGTGAACATCAATTGATTTTGTAGTAAGAAAAAAACTAAGTTTTTTTTAAAACTTTAAAAATTCTCCTCTCATCCTAAATGAAATGACAAATATTCATTTACTAGAGCCCACATGTAATTATGTTAATGTCTCCCCATTTTTGAAGTAACACAAGTTTTTATTTTTTTAAGAAATGGAGTCTTGCTCTGTCACCCAGGCTGGAGTGCAGTGTCACAATCATAGCTCACTGCTGCCTCAAACTGCTAGGCACAAGCAATCCTCCCACCTCAGCCTCTTGGGCACCTGGAATGATTATAGGCATGAGACACTGTCCGGCTCCCAAAGTTTGTTTTTTGTTTTGTTTTTTTTTTTGTTTTTTGAGACGGATTCTTGCTCTGTTGCCAGGCTGGAGTGCAGTGGCACAATCTCAGCTCACTGCAACCTCCGCTCCCAGGTTCAAGTGATTCTCCTACCTCAGCCTCCCGAGTAGCTGGGACTACAGGCATGTGCCACCAAGCCTAGCTAATTTTTGTATTTTCAGTAGAGACAGGGTTTCATCAGGCTGGCCAGGATGGTCTTGATCTCTTGACCTCGTGATCCATCCACCTTGGCCTCCCAAAGTGCTGAGATTACAGACGTGAGCCACCGTGCCTGGCCCCCAAATTATTTTTAAGTGGCTCCCTCAAGAATGCAAGTACTTAATTGCTTGGTTCTGGACACTTGGGTATTTATCTTAATAAAATCATACAGCAAATAGAATCAAACACAGGGCTTAGAGTGTGACATGTACTTAGTGCAACACTTAAATTGTGAATGTATGTACATATGTAAAATCTGGATGAATGTTCCCAAAAATATTAATAATGGTTATCTCTGGGTAGGGAGAATTAGGAGTGATTTTTACATGGTTCTTTACACTTTTCTATATTGTTCCAATATTTGTATAAGCATATATTATTTTCATAAGAAGTAAAATTATTTTATCCTAGGAGAAACAGATGATGGGTAGTGGTAGTGGCTTAATAACGGCCATATTTGCTAAACAGGATCTAGATTCTTGTCACTTAAAAGTATGGTCCTAAGAACATCAGTATCACATTGGAGCTTGTTAGTAATACAGAATTTTCAGCCCCCACCTACTGATTCATAATCTACATTTTAATAAAATCCTCAGATGATTCATATGTACATTAAAATTTGAAAAGCACTGATGTAGATGCTAAGGGCTTTACATGCAGGGAGGATAAGAACAATGTCTACCTTGCTCGTCGTTATATCCCTAGAACCAGCAGTGCTTGAAACATATAAATATTTGTTGAATAAATAAATATGTAAATGATACCACTTCTGGGTAGACAATTAGGCAGTGGAGATTATATCTATTTGAATTATTTATTTTCTGCCAGAATTCCCAGAAGTAGGTGCTTATTATTTGCTGTAAATGCTGTTAAATTAGCTTAATAACAACACTGGGCCCCTGAGAATCTACAACTATATGTAACTTTTTTAAAAAGAACTCCTTCCTTGCTCTTAGCTCTGAGATCCACATGCCTCCTTCAATAATTTCTCCAACCTCCTCTCTGTGGGTATGGCCTATAGTTACTCTCTCTACAATCTCTCCCTGAAACCAAATCCATTCTCAAGATTTTAACTACCACCTGTGAGAGAAAACACTATTTAAATTACAGTCCATGCACTCTATCTGCCTATATTTTCAACTCTATTTCCTGCACCTCACCTCAAATTTAACATGTTCAAAATTAACTTTTTTTTTTTTTTGAGACAGAGTTTCGCTCTTGTTGCCCAGGCCGGAGTGCAGTGGCCTGATCTTGGCTCACTGCAACCTCTGCCTCCCAAGTTCAAGCGATTCTCCTGCCTCAGCCTCAGGAGTAGCTGGGATTACAGGCGCCCGCCACCACACCCGGCTAATTTGTTGTATTTTTAGTAGAGATAGGGTTTCACCATGTTGGCCAGGCTGGTTTCGAACTCCTTGGCCTCAGGTGATCCACCCGCCTCAGCCTCCCAAAGTGCTGGGATTACAGGCGTGAGCCACCGCGTCCAGCCCCAAAATTAACAATTTTATTCTCTGTCAACTATCGTCCTCTCCCAGTCCAGAAGAAAGTAACTAGCTCTCCATCCTCACAGTCTCTAGTTTTACAGGCTTTAGAGAAGAGAGATCAGCTGGCCCAACATCACCTTATGGAGAATAGGCTCTAGAAGAATTAAATGACAGCCAAGAGGCTAGTTATTGGCAACCTCAGCACTCTACGATCTAAATCACTTTATTCCCAGTACACTATTGCATGCTGGAATTCAACAGAATTCCCATTTTTGCCAACAGCACTTAAACTTACTTTTTAGAAACGCAGGTTAAAAATATCATCACCCAGATCCAAGAAATCAAGTCCTGCGTATTGTTCTTTCGGCATTTCCCCGGTTCCTTTCTTCTTCCTTGTCAGAACACCCTGCACTTCCTTTCCACTAAGAGTTCTTTCACCGTTCAATGCCAGCCTTCCCAAATCCTCTACCCTCACTAAACTTATGTCCACAAATAGAATCGCTAAAATATAAATGCTTATTCCTGCATTTGATATCTTTGTCCATGGCCCAACAGAGATGGTTTCCAATCGTTCAAACCCTATTTATCCTCAGAGTCTAGCTCAAACACAGCCTTTTCTACTGGGCTTCCATCTGCCCAATTTCTAATATACTGCTCTATCATTCACTTTGTCATTTGTTCACAGCTTGATTTTTACCGACTGGAAACGTGCTATCTTCAAAAGCATAAAGAATCTGATATATCATCTAGGTCCTTTTTTTTTTTTTTCCACATCTGACAAAACTGAAGCCAAGAGAAATGTGGCTTACCTCATGTTAAATGAGAAATTGTAAATTTCAGGCCGGGCGCGGTGGCTCACGGCTGTAATCTCAGCACTTTGAGAGGCCAACGCGGGCGGATAACCTGAGGTCAGGGGTCACTACCCTAACCCGGCTACTACAAGAGTCTCGATCGTCCTCCAACCTTTCATCTGTCCCAGGATTAAGATTTCACCTGATGACACGCCCAGAAGTGCGGGAAGGACTGGCCAAGTGGAAGTCTACCACGCGATGCTCGTGGACTGACTGAGGAGTACCCAGCCCGGAGCGCGCTCAGCCTGTGGCCGGCCTCCTCACCAAGGGGTAGGCAGGTGCCCAGAATGCTGGAGGATGCCCGGTAAGGGCACCCGAGTCGCCAGCGGTACCTGTCTGAAGGCGCCCACCCATCCCCGGGTACCGACCTGAGCCTCCCGTACCTTACCTCACTCAACAGCAGGCTGCAGCCGCTCCGCTTTACGGCACTCACAGCAACCGCCGCAAAAGCCGCCGTCAAGTGCTGAGCGGCGGAGGCTGGCTTGGTTCCTGCTGGGACGTTCCCACGGTCCAGCCCCAGCCTCGGCTTTCCTGTGACTCTTGTCGCATCCTCACCGCCAGAAGTTCACTGAGCCCTGGCGATTCCTCGCTTTTATAATCTAGCCACTTAGCCAAAGCCCTTTTTTATCTCTTGCCTAATTGACAACTACAGCAGCGCACTGAGGCAATCTGAGAGTTTAAGTTCTGAAACGCTTTCGACAGCGGAAGATGAACTGGAGGCAGCAGCTGAGCCGTTTTCCAAGCCCGTTAAATGTGAACTTCTGATAAACGAGTGGTTTTTTTAGTGCGTGTGCTTTGCTAGAGGGATTCAGCATAACTCCCTGAAGTTTGGTTTGGATACAATTAGTAGAGCTAGGGGATAGAGTGGAAAATAGCAGCTGCGTTCACTATTCCTCATGAAGTTGAGGTGCCTTTATGACATTCAAGATTTAGCGACCTGTTGCCCTCCAGTTTAAGGCTGGATACAATTTTGTACCTGATTAACTTTTTTCTTTTCTTTTTTTGTAGAGACGTTGGGGGCTAGCAGGGCGGGGTGTGGCGGGGGTGGGGGGGAGGGCGTCCTCACCATCTTGCCCAGGCTGGTCTCGAACTCTTGGCCTCAAGCGATCCTCTCACTTTGGTTCTTTTAACGGTGTAATCCAAAAGGTGGTTGTTAAGGCTCAGATATTAATCTTCTTATAAATTTTTGAAAACCATAATTCACTAAACCAGTTACTGTAATTATAATTTATTTCTACAAAACGGAAAATACTCCCATCATATATTTGTTTTCTAAGCTTTGTTTTTAATTCTATCAGTACAGAAAGAAAAGGAAGAAAAAATCTTCCTCACTTCCTACAGGTTATGACATTTACCAACTTTTTGTTTTTCCTTCCAGAAATTTCCTATGCACATACAAGCTTACTGTTGAAGTCCTCTCATCCAATGCACTCAGAACGGGTAGGTACTCAGTAGGTTAATAAAAAAAAGTGGAAGGTTACACCAAGAGGAAGTAAGTTATCAAAGCTTAATGGCATCATTAACACAGGTGCTAACGTGATGGGACATGGGAAAACTTGAGCATCACATACTTGCTATTGATTGAAACACATCAAATATAAAAATTCTTGAGTTTATAATGACTCCTTAAAAAATAAAATTCAGTCGTGATTGAAGATTGCCAAGTTGAAGATTAAATATTCTAAAACTTGATAAGGGAAAACATCAAGCATTTATCCTGCCTTTCTTGTATGAATTGAATTTTAGTGTAACCAAAGTACTTATAAGAGTTCCAGCTAATAAATGGAGGATGATAAAACAATCACGATTTTGTAACTCCTAATAAAATAATCGAAAGGGCAACATCAATAGATGATAAAATTAAGGTGAAAGGTTGATGGGGAACTTTATAATAGACTGGCATCACCTAAACCCACTGATCTTAATCTCACTAAATTTGGGACAAGCATATATTATGTACTTCCTGATGTGATAGAAAGTACACAGCCACACCTGTGAAGGATTCTTGCCTAAAAATTGAACCTGCATTTACTCAAACTCTAGATCTAATACAGGATATAGAGAAGCAACTAAATTCAGAAAACGGGACATTCTACCAGACAAATTCCTCAGTTTTTTTCATAAATGGCATTTAAAAGCAGAGGGAACTATTGTAAAATCAAATATTTAAGAGATGTAACGGAGTACAATGTGTGGACCCTGTCTAGATCTTGATTTGAACAAGATAACTGTAAAAAGATACTTCTGAGACAACTGAAATTTTAGTATGGACTGATCCATTAGATAATAGTACAGAATTACTGTTAATTTTGCTAAGAATGTTAACAGAATGTGGCTGTTTTTAAAAGCCATCATGGATGCATATAGCATACTTACAGGTGACATTTTAAAACAAAATAGATAGCACAAACATGGCAAAATGTTAACAATTGATTAGGTGATGAGCACAAAGCACTGGCTTTCTACTTTTCTGTATATTTGGAAATTATAATTAAAAGTAACAGGAAAAGGGAAAAATTATCAGGTTCTTAGAAATAAATACTTTCCAAGTGTATAACAAATCTAGTTCTGAATAAACCTTCTCAAAAAGGCAGTTTCAGTAGAGGGTTACAATGGCCAATCTTCTGTTTTGAACTAAGTTCATTTTAAGCATGGACCAGCTGATTAGAGTATCTCACTGTTTTTCTTACAAAACCATAGACATAATGCATCATCCATCATTTGTAGTTTCTGTTTCTGTAAAATGGACCAGGAACTTAAAGATACAAGTGAAGGAATATAAATTTGGAGTCCTGGAATTTATTTTTAAAAATCTTCCCCTATCACTCACAATTACTTTGGCCACAACTAACTTTGCAACTTTTTAAACTCTTCATCTCTAATGGTTCTCGTACTTTTCTTATAAGTACCTTTTCATACTCATTTCATATTTATTTTGGTTTATATATTTATATAATTGGTTTACATACTTACATGACTACAACAGTGACTACCACCTACATAAGCAGGTTTGGGAACAAACATAACTGAAGGTAAATATACAACTAAACTGGTGGCAGTGTTACTTATCAAGCATACTGAAAGGTCAAATGTGAGCCCTCAGCTCATGGCAAACGTCAAGTCAGTATGCTTTAATCTGGATAGCAAATACAGCTGAAAGAGTGGGTACAAGGATGCATAAAAACAGCCTCTCTTACAAGTAAATATTCATGTTCTATAAACCACTCAGCTGTGCACACATGTAAGGATCCTGGCCGACTCCTAACATTTGTAGGGTCTGGGCCAAGAATACAAATGAAAGCCAACCCTGACATATTTTCAGTGTCTAAATAGCTGAGCGTTAACCAACAAATAAAATGTTATACTCTTCTACTTTAACATGTATTCTCAAGGAACAGAAATCTAGGTTCAAATATGCGATTCGCAGATTCTTCAGAAGTGTACTAGAAAGTGATACTAGGTTGGCCTGCCCTTCCCTGATCCCCTGGGTCTCTTTTTACTTCTAGCTTAAGCCTGCCACAGGGGCCTATCATGCATGCATGTGGACAACTCAGTCTGCACATCCAAGCTTCATCTGTACTTCCCACAAACTGCCAGCCATAGGGGTATATACATCTGTAGTAGTCTTTTTTCAGGATGGATTTGGACAAAAGGCCTGCACATATCCTGGAAGCAAGCTTCAGGCTGATGAGGCAAGGAATCCTGGGGTTCTGGCTGATAACATAGTATAGAATTCTGTGGGTAAAGGAACATGGATTCCAAGTAGGCATAGTCCCTTGGCTCCTCAATTTTTCATCCCATGAAGAGAGGCACAGCAAGAGTGTGGGGATCCGGTTAGTTAGCTTACCTTAGGTAGGTAACAAGAGAAGGGTCCTGGAGAGCCCCTGGCTCATGAGTCAGTGCCTTATCCCCAGATAATATAAAAAGCAGCCTGGGAAAAAAGCTGCAGGCACCAATAAGGGAACTAGCACAGGGTGTTGTGCCTGGAGACATGCCCATGACTGCACAGATGGAAAAACCTACGGCCCATTTGGATAAAAACTTGCACAAACCTCCAGCTCACTCAGATAAGGGAACAAGGCCTGGCATAGAAATGCCTTGGTCCTTTGTATTGTCAGCAGGTTCCCAGGAAAAGTTTATTCCCCTTTTGTAGGCATGGGCACAGTGGGCTCTGGTAAGTTCCTATGGGCGCTCTACTTTCCTTTGTTAGGACTGTAAGTCCAGCTGCTGTGTATCATCACCTCAGCCCGATTGGTCCTCGGCCACACTTCACTTCAGCTTCTGATAGGTCCTGGGCCAAGCTAAGCAGCATCTATGAATCATTTCACCTCCTGACTGGTCCCGGGCCAAGCCGAGTCACGCATTCGCCAAGACAGCCCCCAGACTAAGCACATTCCTTCCCCTTCCGTCCATAAAAACCTGGACCCCAGCCTCATGATGGGCACTCCCGTTCGGGACCCCCTCTCTGCTGGCA
The DNA here is from genome assembly GCF_000001405.40 of Homo sapiens. Taxonomy (NCBI): domain Eukaryota; kingdom Metazoa; phylum Chordata; class Mammalia; order Primates; family Hominidae; genus Homo; species Homo sapiens. Next base: position 105,554,079 of record NC_000009.12, on the reverse strand, counting down.
GAGAGCTTTCTTCTTTCACCTTATTAAACTTTCACTCTAACCTCACCTTTGTGTCCGTGCTCCATAATCGTCTTGGAGGTGGGACAAGAACTCCAGGTGTTATCTCAGACAACGAAAGACTGTTTCAATAATGTAGTATATAAGTGGACAAGAACTCCAGGTGTTATCTCAGACAACGAAAGACTGTTTCAATAATATAGTATATAAGTGGGTAATGAAACATGCATTCCAAGTAGGCATAATCCCTTGGCTCCTCAATTTTTCATCCCATGAAGAGAAGCACAGCAAGACTGTGTGGTGATCAGGTCAGGGTCCCCTCTTACCCAAGTATACATGCATGCACACACCCGTTGTATCGTACTGTATATATTGCTGGATGACTTTTTTGTTTAATATCATGAATACACTTCCATTAACAGCATATCCTTTAACAGCTGTGTAGGATCACATGGAAATACCAAAATCTAACCATCTGCTCTTGTGCTGACCTTGTGCAAAAATAAATAAATACAAATACACCATGCAGTGTAAGTGTAAAATGGGGTTTAGTAGAAAAGTAGAGTGCACATAATATCCTGAGCTCTTATGCCACAGAACTCCCAGCCAGGCACAAATGAACTGGTATACCAAGGAAAAGGCTCTAATTAAGCCAATTGTCATAATGGTCTATATAACATTTATTGGGGAGGGGAATGTGCAGAATATATAATATCTAGACCACTACTTATATGGTAGTTTGCTGGTGCAGCAAGTTAGAAAAGGGGAGCCTTCAAAATTCTGTTATCACATTCTTTTGTTGAGGCAACTTGGGCCTTTTGAACCAGTTCTGTGCCTTGCTACCAAAAAAGGAAAAGGAATTTACCTCCAAGTCCATCCAAATTTGTAGGTCTTCAATTAATAATTAGGTTGCTACTATTAGCTATGGTAATGCTGCAAGGAACATTGGCTTTTTTGTGAGTATATATGTAAGAGAAATACTTATAAAGGAAATTAAGGAGCATGTGCATTTAAAAATCTTAATATTGCTAAAATTGTTCTCCAGAAATGCTGCACCCATTCACTCTCCATCTTCTATAGTGGTTTATCAATCTTTGTCCATTCTTCTTCCTGTGACTCAAGACTATCCAGTCTCCTTTCATTCTTCTTACATAACTTCTTAGTTACAGGCGCTCCAGTCTCACTGATTTTTTTTCTTTTAAACTGTTTTCAAGTTAGAGCAAGAATTTTAAAAATGTTTAGGTTCTGATTCTGACTCTTAGTTACCATCTACCAAAATGTAACCCAACATGTAGCAAGATCCAAAGAAACCAAATTCATAAGTAATATTATAGTTACTAACATAGCATGTTTCATTTTCCATCTGTAGGTACACTGTTCAAAACAGTGGCTATTAGCAATATGCAACTCTATGTAGCCACATATAAAGTGCTCAGTAGCTGCCTATGGCCAGTCACTACTGTATTGGACTGCACAAATAACTTTTCATAATTGCATAAAATTCTGTTGAACAGTAGTGCTCTAAAATGTTAAGCTTTTTAGGCAAAGGAACTATGACTTTTTTTATATTCTCATCCCCAACAGCATATTGTATTTATACTTAAATAAAAGTTAATAAAATCAAACAATGAAGCAAAAGAGAGCAGGAAAAGAGTTTTTAAATTTTTAATGAGATATTCCAGGTGCTTCTGTAAAATCTTAACTGGGACATTCTATATAGAACACAAAATCATTTCAAAATACACGTTACTCCACTTTGAATACCCTATTTTAAAGTGAAAAAAAAACATTTTAAAAAGGCTTTGTCTTGTTTCTAAGGAAAATGAGGCCATGTGCTTCTTAAAACACTATTGTATGGCACTGAGTGCATCATAAGTATCATTAAAGGTCTTCAGCCATAACTTAAAAGGCCAAACCTGAGGAATTAGAATTTTTATTATCACAACTGCATAGCAAAATCATGTCCAGATAATAGACATACTAAATCTGTAGATTCAGATAACCTGTAAACCATTTAATCCAATTTAAAGCAAAACAAATATGTCAGGAGAGATACCAAGAGATAACCAGGTTAACAAGATTTTGAAATGCTTCATCTTTTTTTAAAAATGATAATGCAACAAAGTTGTCAAATGTTCAGTGGTTACATTTTATATCATTTATCCGTGACAACAAGCTGCCCAGCCATTTGGTTGTTTGGAAAGAACTGTTTAGACCAAATACACTCTTTGCATGTGGCACTGGGCAGCCCTAACTTCAAAGTGCAAATGCCTGCATGGAAATGTAGCTTAATTCATTTATTTATGCCACTATTCTACACTGACACAACAATGCTGTGCAAGAGCTTTTACAGCTCTAGAGTAATAGGCTTGAGAAAATACAAAAAGGCCACAAGTCATGCACAAATTAAATGAATATTAAAGAACATTTTAATTGGGGTTTTATTTTTTTAAAATCATGTTAGAAATCACTGGTGATACCACTTTAAGCACACGCTTTATCAAAGTAAATGCATCTACAATTATCCAAACACTTAAATCCATTATTAGCTAAAAACAACACTTTACATTTACGTAGCACTTTGCTGTTGCTGAAGCAATTTCACATACTCCATTTCATTTTATTTCCTCACAACAGCCCTGTGAGGCAGGCTGAACAACTTACACTTATTTTATAAAGAAGGCAATAGAGACCCAAAGATGATAAACAATTTGTGTAGCGGTCACAGATCTAGTATATGGTAGAGCTAAGGTGATTAATTTTAAATACTTCAAAAAAGAAGCCAAAATCCTTTTTATGTCATATCCAGGGATTTTTAAGACTTGCGGCTTTTAATATAAATTATTCCAAAACTTTAGCTATTATCTGTCTTATAGTATGAATTAGTTATAAAGTTGATTTTAAAGAGTCTCCCTTAATAGGTAAATTAGACTCAGTGCTTTGGTACCTTAGATATATAGGAAATGTTAAAAAATATATATATGCATTCTCATAGCCCTTATGTTCTCCAGAAAGTTCCAATACTAACAAAAATGTGTTTTACCACTTACTATTTGACTTATTTTAACCGTAGTCAAAACTTAATAAGCTCCAAGCCAAAGCAAACACATTCACGTGCCTTCTGCTCTACATACTGTGAAATCCTCTTCATGTCCATTCCCATGGACCAGCTTACATTGAATGGGTACCACTAAGAAAAGATACCAGTTTAAACTCACATAGCTTAAGTGATTATGCATCAGAAGTCAGTACCTTATATTGACCCAGAAATAAGAAATATTCTTTTATTTAATAATTGAGTCATCTGAAGAGAAAAGTGTACTCTGGTAAATTCTGGTATTTATTTATAAGTCAATGCTAACTCTGATGTGGCATATCCAACAATATCTTTTCAATGAAGACAATATACACCAAATGTAATCCATTTAAACTCCAACTAATTCAAAATGCTTAAACTGTTTAGGTTAATCAAATACTCCAGGTAACAAAGCTATTATATGTGACATATCAGGATCACAAATAATTTCAGAACATGCATACTGTAAGATACACACAAAACTAAACTATACTGAACGTGAGGTAATCTTGCCATGATAATTAAGGAAACATTCATGATCTCTTATAATACTCCAGTGCCAACATTATGAAATGTATATTTTGGTTAAAAATAACAACTTTGTGGTTATCTGTATACTGAGTAAATATATGTTGACCATACACTTCCCTAAAAGAATGTATCTAGAGTAACTACATAATCAAAGAAGAAACTTTTTCAGGCCCATTACATGTGACTATATAAAAGTGAACCATTTTATATGCAGTTAATTTGATTTTTTTTTAGCAAACTATAACACATTTTAAACTTCTGACTTATTAGCAAAACAATTTTAAGAGGCAAACTCTGTCACACTACTCAAAAGCTGCAAAACTCTATGCACAGTCCATCAAACTTCACTGGTTTTGGTTAATGTACATACAAAGTAATCACATTTTTACTGCCATATCACAAACACTCAAATATTTGCTGTATGGATTAGCCAATGAATGGAGACTCATCTTTTAAAAACAAATTACGTTTTTAAAAAAATAATTATTTTAAAATATAATCAATTTCTTAAGCCTGGAATCACATATTTTACAGTAAGAAGTCTACACTTCCCTCTTTAAATAAATATTCTTTGAAATAATCATTTTCCATATACTTTTCCAATTGTTTCCATAAGAAACAATAAAATTACATAAACAATTATAATTTTATGGACAAAGTATATAGATAAAAATCATTCTACATAAGTTATGAAATAGCATATCTTAGCCTAATTAAAAGATTCCATTACATTTACTTTTATCATTTATACTGCCAAGGATCAGTCACAAAAAATTCAAATTATACATATTATTCATGCTTTAATTTCATAAATAAGTAAATTAAAGCAAGCCAATATGTCTCTCTTCATAACATAGGGAAAAATTACTGTTTGCATAACAGAGTAAATAGGCAAAGTCTAGCCATACAGCAGCAGTTCACGATTTGTCAAGATGATACAGATACCATCAATGAAACCCATGTATAGACAGGCATGTCCTTAATACTTTCAGTTAGTTTACGTACACCTGGAACATTCAAAGAATTGCTGTATATTAAATTTCTGTGTGCATTAGTTATTAATGCTTGGTATCTACATATTTACCAAAATTTAAAGACATAATGACATGGTCAGCCATGAGAGTCAAAATGAATTGTAAAAAAATTCTTTTTCTAAAGTGCTTAAGGCAGCTCCTTCATTTCGATATCCAGCTTAATAAAACTCGTTGGGAATTCAGTTGCTAAAAGAGAATGCCATACTAAATGCATGTTTTTAGAAAACAACTGTTTTATACCTGTGACATATCCATTATAGTCAACCTCTCAAGCATTTCTTTTATAGAAAGCAATCATGTTTGACCTGTAGAAACAAAAACTAAATAAGCAACAAAAGATGTTTCAAAGGATTTAATACTTTTTACAATGTATTAAATTGTAATCAAGAGCTCAATATTTTTAAATTCAAATGTAATTGAGAATATTATATAGTATAATCAAGTTAATAGTTACCTTATTTTGAGACTAAATAGGCACTATATTTGATTAGTTTTCAGTTTGAAAATGAGGATGACAAACTTTCTCCAGTTTAACTTAACAACAAATAAACTAAAAACGTCTTAAACAAAAAACCACATCTTGTTCTTTAATTTTAGAGACCTTTAAGAACGCCAGTAAGAAGAAATCCTCAGACTCTTATTTTGAAGTAATAATTGAAAATTTAGTATCAAATAATACATGTGATGAGAATTTGGACTGGATTTACTGAACTTACACTATTATTACAAAACCTCTCAGAGATGAAACCTCTCCAGTGGAGAGGTTTTCCAAATGAATATTAGAAAATTTTATGTGAAGAGTTTCAAATGACAACATGAACACAAGAATCATGTATACTCCTCCAGCCCCTGATTAATATATGCATTTCCCCATGCCCCTGCAACAGAGGGCCCTCACCACTACAACAATGCTCTGTAGCTTAAACATCAGTTGACACTGCATGGGGCATGGACCAAGAGTATGCTTAGAGGAAAAAGGCACTGAATTAATGAGAAGAAAGAATTATATAAGACACACTAGTAAAAAATTTTATACAACAGCATCTGACCTTTTCTGTGTCATATTTGTTAAAATTCACTTAAAGCAACTCAACTACTAAAAATTTCTGCTTTCAGGTTTGAGTCTATGAAAGGAATTATAAATTCCCATTCATTTAGATCCTGGAATAGGCCCTCTATAGGGAACAGAACATCTGAAAATTTCTTTCAAACTCTCTCTGAGGAACAAAAACCAAAATTATATTTCTTTGGAGAATCAAAAGAGTATCTATTGGTTTACTTCATTCTCTAAACTGCCTTGCAGTCTTTAAAATTACCAACATGTCATCAGATAATAGTGCAGATATGAATGTCCTCTAGAAAAACAATATTCCAATTCAAATAAAATTCCTCATTTACATTTGTTTTATCAAGGAAACAAAACATCCTATCAGTGGGCAGTAAATTTTTAGAGAGAATGAGCTACTATTAATACTATTATACAAGTCTCTATGTAGAAAGCAACGCAAATGTAGGCAGTAATGGTCACTCCTTGGAAGAAGGTTGGTTATCATAGCACAATATATTTTAAATGAGAATGAAAAAAAGTCAACAAATGTAAAGTTTCAAAAATGAAGAAAAATACAAATTCAGACCTCTTAAAAATGCCCAAAGAATTATTAAATACTGTAATTTTAATTTAGTTTAGCTCAAAGGATGTGAGTTACAAATTATAATTGACTTTTTAAGAACAGTTATGTTCCACATAACCATGGGTTTTACCCCAAGTTTGGGAAAGATATCTATGTCAATTTTTGTAATAATTAACATTTCTTTGAAAAGAAAGTGAATGTAGCAAAAGGACTGAGAGAAAACAAACCTCTGAATGAATGGCTGCTTGAAAAAGTCATGTGCCAATTAAGTCAAAGATACGCAGATTTTTTTCAAAACAATTGCTTAAAGCATTCCATATGTTATGAAAAAGAATATATACATTATTTGAGTATTTAGGTACCTCCCTTTATAACCTATCCTTCTTAGATAAAAATTGAGTGATATACATTTTTCAATCCTCTATGTAACTTTAATAAACTTTGATTCCTATAAGAGATGCTAAAAATCAGCATAATTATTATCAGTGTCACATTCAAGTGGGAATTTTACCAAACACAACTATTAAAGGTAGGATTAAACTAGACAACAAAATCAAAAAATATAAGGCTTTCAAAAATCTTACCCATCACCTAAAGTGATGGAATGAAAAGAACTGTAGTTAAACAAGGCAACATATAAAGAATACCCCCCTTGCCATTGTTAGTGCAGTAGGTAAAGAACTGAAATTTGGGTGATTTTAAGCTGTTGTGTCTAGAAATTTCTTATCACAATATTTTGGAAAAAAGAAAATTATATACAATCTAGTCAATAAACAAAAGAGGAAAATTTTGTAAAACTTATTTATAAAAGAGGAAAAATAAACCATTTGAAAACCTTTTTACCATTCCCAACATATGATTTCAATTTTTAGAAAACCTTGGATGACTATGTATTTTTAAAGCTTCTGTGTTAGAACTAAATAATAGATAGTAATGAGATTTTAAAAAGACAAAGTACAGAAGAAAGAAGGCAAGATTTAAAAGCTTTTCTCCCCAGGCCTTAGGGTTACCATATGTAATTAAACATTAGAATAGTCAAAGTAATCCAAGAAATACAAAAATGAGTTTTTATGTTAATTAAACACTGCCTTTTCCCCCATTTACTCTTCAATCATCAGTTTTTTGCTTGGTATCTGCTTGCTTCTATGATACTGCACAGTAGGTTCCTGCAAATGCTTCGTACTAGGTGTTTAATGATAAAAGATTCCAGGCCTCAAAGCAGAACACAGCAAACCTGATTTTCACTACTACCAAATTCCTGTGATTAGTAACTGCACAGAAAAGGCCACCTAATCAAGACGGAGGGTAAACGTATTCTGAGTAGACACTATTGAGTAACAACATTGTTCAGGCTGCTAGCTGAACCAGTCATTCCATTTTCACTTTTCTGAAGTGTTCTCACAGCACTTGGAACCTGCATCCCAGTACTCAAAGAAAGTCCACCACACCATACCTAAGAAAAGACAAAAAAACCTGTCAGATTGCAAATCAAACTAGAATTTCAGTGATTTTTAAATTTCCATTTCAAAGGCAAAATGCCACACATATGAACATCAATCATTCTCAAACACATTAACTGTCATATTTCAGCTGAGGGGAAATGGAAAGACTAAATCAGAATTATTTTAGAACCACAGAGGCCAGAGGAGGTCTTGGTGGTAGCAGAACCAACTGAAGCTGCACCCAAGAGAAGGAACTCAGGGGTGCAGAAATTGAGAAACTTCATTGGCTTAATCTAGGCAAAAGGTATTACCTATCATTACTGATGCTAATTTTCACAACCAAGGGAAGCATACAAAGCACCAACTTACTTCCCACTTATGCTTTTGGTTTTGATAATGAGATATGGCCTGAGACTATAAAAATCTAACACCCCTCAGTTAACAGTAAAATCCACTGTTTTCTTCCTTACCGTGTTAACTATAAGAACTCTTATATAATTATTTAAGAAGGACTCCTGACAAAAATGCAAATCCCAATATCCAGATGTACTTCCCATGTTCTATTACTTATCATAAATGTGAATGACTTTGTGAAAGATAAAACTGCTTTGCTTAGGCTGGTTCAACATACGCAAACCAATAAACGTAATCCAGCATATAAACAGAACCAAAGACAAAAACCACATGATTATCTCAATAGATGCAGAAAAGGCCTTTACCAAAATTCGACAGCCCTTCATGCTAAAAACTCTCAATAAATTAGGTATTGACGGTACATATCTCAAAATAATAAGAGCTATTTATGACAAACCCACAGCCAATATCATACTGAATGGGCAAAAACTGGAAGCATTCACTTTGAAAACTGGCACAAGACAGGGATGCCCTCTCTCACCACTCCTATTCAACATAGTGTTGGAAGTTCTGGCCAGAGCAATCAGGCAGGAGAAAGAAATAAAGGGTATTCAGTTAGGAAAAGAGGAAGTCAAATTGTCCCTGTTTGCAGATGACATGATTGTATATCTAGAAAACCCCATTGTCTCAGCCCAAAATCTCCTTAAGCTGATAAGCAACTTCAGCAAAGTCTCAGGATACAAAATCAATGTGCAAAAATCACAAGCATTCCTATACACCAATAACAAACAGAGAGCCAAATCATGAGTGAACTCCCATTCACAATTGCTTCAAAGAGAATAAAATACCTAGGAATCCAACTTACACGGGATGTGAAAGACCTCTTCAAGGAGAACTACAAACCACTGCTCAATGAAATAAAAGAGGACACAAACAAATGGAAGAACATTCCATGCTCATGGATAGGAAGAATCAATATCGTGAAAATGGTCATACTGCCCAAGGTAATTTATAGATTTAATGCCATCCCCATCAAGCTACCACTGACTTTCTTCACAGAATGGGAAAAAACTACTTTAAAGTTAATATGGAACCAAAAAAGAGCCCACATTGCCAAGACAATCCTAAGGAAAAAGAACAAAGCTGGAGGCATCACGCTACCTGACTTCAAACTATACTACAAGGCTACAGGAACCAAAACAGCATGGTACTGGTACCAAAACAGAGATATAGACCAATGGAACAGAACAGAGCCCTCAGAAATAATACCACACATCAACAACCATCTGATCTTTGACAAACCTGACAAAAACAAGAAATGGGGAAAGGATTCCCTATTTAACAAATGGTGCTGGGAAAACTGGCTAGCCATATGTAGAAAGCTGAAACTGGATCCCTTCCTTACACCTTATACAAAAATTAATTCAAGATGGATTAAAGACTTAAATGTTAGACCTAAAACCATAAAAACCCTAGAAGAAAACCAAGGCAATACCATTCAGGACATAGGCATGGGCAAGGACTTCATGTCTGAAACACCAAAAGCAATGGCAACAAAAGACAAAATTGACAAATGGGAGCTAATTAAACTGAAGAGCTTCTGCATAGCAAAAGAAACTACCATCAGAGTGAACAGGCAACCTACAGAATGGGAGAAAAATTTTGCAATCTACTCATCTGACAAAGGGCTAATATCCAGAATCTACAAAGAACTCAAACAAATTTACAAGAAAAAAACAACCCCATCAAAAAGTGGGCAAAGGATATGGACAGACACTTCTCAAAAGACATTTATGCAGCCAACAGACACATGAAAAAATGCTCATCATCACTGGCCATCAGAGAAATGTAAATCAAAACTACAATGAGATACCATCTCACACCAGTTAGAATGGCGATCATTAAAAAGTCAGGAAACAACAGGTGCTGGAGAGGATGTGGAGAAACAGGAACACTTTTACACTGTTGGTGGGAGAGTAAACTGGTTCAACCATTGTGGAAGACAGTGTGGCGATTCCTCAGGGATCTAGAACTAGAAATACCATTTGACCCAGCCATCCCATTACTGGGTGTATACCCAAAGGATTATAAGTCATGCTGCTATAAAGACACATGCACATGTATGTTTATTGCGGCACTATTCACAATAGCAAAGACTTGGAACCAACCCAAATGTCCATCAATGATAGACTGGATTAAGAAAATGTGGCACATATACACCAGGGAATACTATGCAGCCATAAAAAAGGATGAGTTCATGTCCTTTGTAGGGACATGGATGAAGCTGGAAACCATCATTCTCAGCAAACTATCGCAGGGACAAAAACCAAACACCACATGTTCTCACTCATAGGTGGGAACTGAACAATGAAAACACATGGACACAGGAAGGGGAACATCACACACCGGGGCCTGTTGTGGGGTTGGGGGAGGGGAGAGGGATAGCATTAGGAGATATACCTAAGGTAAATGACGAGTTAATGGGTGCAGCACACCAACATGGCACATGTATACATATATAACAAACCTGCACGTTGTGCACATGTACCCTAGAACTTAAAGTATAATAAAAATAAAAACAAAAAATAAAATAAAATTAAAACTGCTTGTGAACAGAGCAGCTATAATTCAATAAAGTGAGACATAAGATTTGGGACACAGTCAAAAGAATTAAAATATGAAAATACAGATCATTGACACTATCATCAACTACCGTATATATTAATAGTAGACACAAGCTTAAAGCAAGGGAAATTCTAGAAGTTGTTTAAGTATCATCACCTTCAATTATACCCTTAAGTGTTCAATATCTACTAAGTAACTAGATTATTATACCAAAGAATCTACTGAACTGTGAAATTTGTAATTATATAATTAACATTATAAATTTTCAAAACTAACAGGCTCAGTAATGATAACTCCCAAAATACAAAAGCAACTTTCTGATTATAAAACTACTATATTATTTTTTGGAAATTATTTAAATGATTTAGAAAAATATTTACTCAAAATATCTAACATGAAGATGCAAAGGGAAATCAAGAAGAAAACATAAAACCTTTGTGACCTTGAGTTAAGCAAAGCATTACCCATAATAGGGAAAAAAATTACCAAATTGGACTTCATAACAAAATGAAAAACTTCTCTCTGAAATGTTCAGAAAATGAAAATGCAAACCATAACCAGGAGAAAATATTTGCAAAGCATATATCTGACAAAGGATTCACATCCAAACTTATAAAGAACTCTTAAAAACAGGAAAACCAGGCAGTGGCTCATGCCTGTAATCCCAGGATTTTGGGGGGCCAAGGCTGGTGGATCATTTGAGCCCAGGACTTTGAGACCAGCCTGGGCAATATAGCAAAACTCCATCTGTACAAGAAACATTTTTTAAATAGCCGGGTATGGTGGTGGGCACCTGTAATCCCAGCTACTCGGGAGGCTAAGGTGGGAGGATCACTTGAGCCCAGGCAGTTGTGACTGCAGTGAGCTGTGATCGCACCACTGTACTCTAGCCTGGGTGACAGAGCGAGACCCTGTCTTAAAAATAAAGTAAAATAAAAAAATAAGAAAACAATTAAGTCCTAAAAAGTAAGCAAATAATTTTAACAGATACTTGAAATAAATTATATGAATGGCAAATAAGGACATGAAACATCATTTGTCATTAGGAAACTACAAATAAAAACACAATGACATACCACTACACACCTATTAAAATGGCTTAACAACAACAAAAAATCTGGTAATATCAAATAATGGCAAGGATATGACCAACTCTCATATCACTGATAGGAAGGCAAAAAATGGTACAGCCACTTTGGAAAACATTTTGGTAGTTCCCCATGAAGTTAAACATACACTTTCAATGTGATACAGCTACTCTATTACTGCTCTTAGGTATTTACCCAAGGGAAAATCCCATATGTAAATGCTTATAGTGATTTTATTCATAACTGCCCCAAACTGGGAAAAACCCAAGTGTCTTTCAACTGGTGAATGAATGAATAAACTGTGATACATACATATATGAAACACTACTCAGCAATGAAAAAAAGGAGAATACTGACACCACAACAACATGGATGAATTTCAAATGCAGCATGGTACGGAATCGAAAGGCTACATACCATACAATTCTATTTATACGATGTTCTGGAAAAGGTACAACTATAGGGCCTACGAACTGGTTACTGATAGCTAGGGCTGGTTGTGTGGAACGGTCCACTATAAAAGAACACAAAGGAATTTTCTAGGGTGATGGAAATGTTCTATATCTTGATTATGGTGGTGGTTATACAACTGCAGGCATTTGCTAAAAACCACAGAACTGCACCATACTATAAATTCAATAAAACTGACTTAAAAATTAATCTTGTACACAAAACATTTAATAGGCATTAACGTACTTAATAAAAGCAAGCCTTCAATGAAGGAAAAAAAATTTTAACAAGCTTAAAATAATTTCTTGCAGTATCTTATGACATATACTAATATAATTAGAGTATTATTTGGAATGAAAAACAATAAACTCAGTACATACATACATGAGATAGATTCAAATTAAAAGTAAATCTACTATTTATAAAAGCACACCTAAGTCTTGGAAAAAATTTTTCTGCATTCCACATGGTAAACAACTCATCCTTGATGGACCAGTTTGGAAAAATAGCCAAAAATGCGTAATATGGCAGAGGTTTGTACAAAGTTAAAAAAAAAAAAAAAAGGAAAAAGAAACAACCCTCCCTTCCAGTATCTTTATGTTTCCATGAGCAATAACTTTAGTCACTAATCACTTACTTTTAATGTAAAAATAGGTGTCCTGGTTATTAGCATTGTTTTAAACTTAAGAGATTAAAGTATCTGGAATAAATAATTACTATGGATAATGAGATTTAAAAGCACTGTATTTTCAACCCACTCTTACTCTGAAAACTTTCTCCTTATAGTTGAGAAGTTACAGTTAGGGGTGATGACAGAAGAATATACATGCAAAATATTCCATTTGAAATATACCATCTTGACTTATAGAGGTAGCCTCCAAATTTAAGAAAAGCTCTAGCCAAAGTAATGGTAACTTTAACTGGATCCCACAACTCCCCACGGGAACCTAACCTATGAAAAGATGCAGAAGGTTATGAGTTGGAAAAAGCAATAACATTTGCTTAAATAAATTCAAAACCATGTTTTATTTTGTGCAGAGAAACAAATTTTTCTTTTCAGCCTGAAATTGAGTAGACCTGCAATTACACAGGATGTAATTGCTATGTGGTGTGCATACATATATTCAGCATAGCACACAAAGACAGTCATCTAATATTTTGTACAAAGATGACACTGCACTATGATCTTGTCAATAAATGGTCCTGGAATAACTGGATATCCATGGGGAATTAAAGAACGTATCTAGATCCTTACTTCATACCAAACACATCAATTCTACATTGTACTTGCATTGTAAATGCAGTCTATATCTAAATGTACAAGGTAAAGCTTTTAGAAGAATATTTTCATGACCTTGGGGGTGCATACTGATTTCTTAAACAGAACACAAAAAGTGCTAACTGTAAATGAAAAAATTGATAAACTGAACAAAATTAACTTTTGTTTATCAAACAATACCAATAAGGAAAAAGGAAAGCCAGAGTGAAGAAGAGCCTACAAATTAACCCATAAGAAACACGAAGACAACCTAATAGAAATACAAGCAAAAGATCTGAATAGCCAGTTCACAAAAGCATATACCCAAATAGTCAACAAATATATAAAAAGGTGCTCAACAGCACTAGTAATCAAGGAAATGCAAATTAAAACCAAAATGTAATATATCATCCACTAGAAGGACAAAAAATTTTTTAAAAGATAATACTAAGTGTTGACAAGGATTTGAAGGAACTCAAATTCTTACATACTGCTAGTTGTAAATTAGCATAACCAACCATTTCAGAAAACCGGCAATTTTACAGTTGATTATACATATACGATATGATCTAGCAACCCCAATCATAGGTATATACTCAATGGAAATATACACATACATTTATCAAAAGATATGAACAAAAGTATTCATAGCAGTTCTATTTGTATAGCCCCCAAATGGAAACCACCCACATATCCAACTAAATTAAAATTTATAAATCAATTGATATAGTCACAGAATGGAAAACTATACAGCTATGAGAATGAATGAACTATAACCACATAGAATATGGATTAATCTCACAAGCATAATGTTGAGTCAAAAAGATACTGTATGATTCTGTTTATATAAAACTGAAAAGGAAGTAAATTTAGGGTATTAAAAGTCAATACAGTGCTAACACTGGAGAAGGGCCATTAGGGACTGGAAATGGGCACTAGAGGGGGCTTCTGAGGTTCTCGTAATGTTCTAAGTGCTAGTTACACATGAGTGCAGTCCTATAAAAACTCATCAAACTACATGATTTGTGTACTTCATGTATTAACATAAACTTCAATAAAATATACCAAAAATATATAAAAACAATCACAGATTTGGGAGAGGGTGAATTGGGGAAATGGAGGAGAATATGAAGAAAAAACAAAATATTCTCCTTCTCCAAATATACAGTATAGAATATTCTCCTTAAAGTTGCCAACCAAGTAAAATATGTTAGGTATATATAAGATATAAAACATACTAACCATGAAACCAGGTAGTACTGGCTGAGTAAATTTTGTCTTAAAGGAATATAGCAACTGTTTAGAATTTGCATCATAGAATGAAAGTTGACCTAAAAAAGAAGGAAAAAAAGCCTAATTTATTATACAAAAAATTGTAACATTTAATTAATTCTAACGCATAATCATGCAAAAAGTAATAATATATAAGTTGGCATTAATTTTTGTATGAGGACTGGATTAATTATTCTCACTTGAAAATCAGAAGGACAAATGCTTAAGGAAAAGCCCAATCCAATTTTCTTCCCCTGGTTTTCAAGACCTCTATAATACCTCTATAATCTAGCACGATTCGACTTATTTAATACAAACTATTTCCTTATTTGATCATTATTTAACAAATGGTTTCATTAGCCCAGTGTAAACCAAGGCCATTTCTTCCTCCTTATTTTTCCTATAACCAGCCTCTCTGCCCAAATTCTAATCACCATTTAAGGTTTACTCTATTAAACCTTGTCTTCTATCTACCTGATGCGATACTGATACTCCAGTCTCTAAAATCACAATATATCTATCACTGCTTCAATTTTGTTAATTTTTTTAACAGAGGCGGGGTCTTGCTATTTTGTATAAGCTGGGCTTGAACTCCTGAGCTCAAGCAATCCTCCACCTCAGTCTCCCAAAGTGCTAGGATTACAAGCATGAGCCACTATGCCTGACCTGCTTTGTTAATTTTTAAAATCACCTCACAGTATATCCTTCAATAGGATCATGCCCTAAAAAAAACTGTCTGTCTGACCTCCTAAACTGGCCAACCAAATGGCCTCCTTACAGCTGTTATCACTTCTTGAAACTCTTCTCTGATGACCATTCCCTTGGTTTGTATCATAACCCTGGGGATAACTTCACCATCTCCTCCTTTTCTTCCTGTTCTAAATGTAGCCACTTTGTCCATGCTCTCTTTTCTTTATATAATGCTTCCTTAATAAATCAACTGCCACCAAAGAGGAAGATAAAATAAACTAATATTTATGCACATTATTATGTAGATTGTTTAATATTTTGAGGTAATGTATGTAAAGTACCCAGTACTTTGATCTCGAAGTTGGTAAACAGCATAACGGTACATATGATCACAAAGTTAGTAAACAGCAGAATAGTAATGCTTAAATATATTGTCCTGTACAATCTTCCATAGCAATTCTGTAATGCTGTCTCAAATATTTAATGTCAGCTCTACTTAACTGCTGAATTCTAGCACTGAATTTCAAAATGCTTGCTAAACATGCCACATGATTATCCTGCTGGCATTTCATTTCCCCCCAAAACTCTATGTTCCCTATCCTGTTGACACTGTCATCCTCTTGATCACACTGGCTGGAACCTCAAAGTCATCTTCAACTGTCTGTCCTCAGCTGATCTGTATTTAGTTACTAAGTCCTATGAATTCTACTTCTACACTGTCAAATCCATTCTTAATTCTCCACTGCTCAGATGCTTGTTGCCAGTTACTCAACACTTATTAAGGGCTTTCTATGTGAAAAGCACTAGCCAGGCAATAAGGGCTTAATAGCTAACAAGAGACTCAGTCCTGCTCTACACCACTTGAAGACTGCTTCCCGAAAAGTCTTATGCTTGCTATGCTTTCGATCTCTTCCATCTTTAACCACTGACTCTCTAATATTTCTAAAACTCAATTATCTTATGACTATAGTGTTCTAAAACATGCAGAACCACCCCTCCCCACTACTGAAGACCAGTCCATTATTATTTTTCAAGGCTCTCAGAATCTGATCCTATTCCACAGTACAACTTCCCCTTGCCATACGTTATGTTCTAGACTAAAAACTGTATCTCACTACTACCTTTATGGACTCACAGAGTATGGGAAAGGAGAGAGAAGAAGCAAATGTTGTCTTGGTAGTTGAAAAAAAAATGTGTGCTAATAAATTTGCCATTTATCCTGAGGAAAATGATTTAACTGATTCAAGGTGAATAAGTTAAAAAACAAAAAACACAGCAAAGCTAACATGTCATCACTAAAAATAAATCAAGCCAAAATTACTTTTTCTCCTTTTTTGAGTAAATTAACTGACAGCTCACGGAATTATTTGGGCACAATATTACTAAAATAATAAAATTTGGTATTAGCTTAAGTGTCAACTTGGAGAAAAAACATCTAGGGAATTACTTTAGTTCAATATTATGTCATCTTCAAAATTATTATACATTAGATGACTGTAGAGAATATGCTTATGAAATAACTAATTCAATGAGCTTTAAAATTTTTTCAAAATATAAATATCAAGTAAATTTTTAGATAATTTTAAGACGGGAAATTTGGGCCAAATCTATTAAGATGAAACTAAAAAAGGGTAAATGTAATAGTCTTCATTTGCATTACATATAACATTGAGTTATTTTTAAAAACCATAAACTGGCTGGGTGTGGTGGCTCATGGCAGTAATCCCTGCACTTTGGGAGGCCCAGCCAGGTGGATCACTTGAGGTCAGGAGTTTGAGACCAGCCTGGCCAGCATGGTGAAACCCCGTCTCTACTAAAAATACAAAAATTAGCCAGGCGTGGTGGCATGCACCTGTAATCCCAGCTAACTCAGGAGGCTGAGGCAGGAGAGTCGCTTGAACATGGGAGGCAGAGGTTGCAGTGAGCTGAGACTGAGCCACTGCACTCCAGCCTGGACAACAGAGTAAGACTCTGTCTCAAAAACAAAACAAAACAAAACAAAAAAAACCAAAACCATAAACTGCCTAACAAAAGAAAAAGACAATTTGACATAATGCCGTGAAAAAAGATCTAATGGATTAGGGTAGCTACAAGCTCAATATTGATCAGCAGTGCTAAGTCATACTATTAGAAATAGCATAGCCAAATTACTGTCCTTTGCTGGTCAGAGGTCATGTGTTCCACTCTAAGACCAACCTTTAAGAAAAACACTGACATACTAGACAGCCATAGGAGATTATAAAGACTTGGAAAAATTAAATTTTAACAGGGGCAGCTAATAACAGAATATATGGTCTGGAAAAACAGGGCAAGAAAGTTTTTAATAAAGGATTATCGTGTGAACATGAGTGAGGAAACGTAATTCTGTGTTTATTCAGATGGGAAAATTTAAGGGAAACAATGTGAGTCAACTTAAGAAAAATCTTCTAACCAAGAGCTGTCCAACAATGAAACAGGCTGCTTTCTAAGACAGTAAACTTCACATTAAAAGTTCTTCAGGCACATAAGTGGCAACTACCTGCAGAGATAGTGTACTAAGAACTGTATACTGTGTGGCAGATGGAGTAATTTCTTTTCTTTTTTGGATTAGACTACACTGTGTTAATAATTTTGTAAGTAAAGAAATTCTGATATTGAGGGGAAACCCCTTTGGCCCCTCTAAAGATATCATGAGTCATTCTGAAGAATATTTTTAAAGACAGCAACTTGAAAATTAAGAACATTCCATTCGTTTCAAGTGTGATGCGGTTTGGCACAGTAAATATTTGCTGTATAGCTTATGTTTACTAGGATAGTAGAAAATATGGCTCTGGTATCTTCTTGAATTTTTTTTTAATTTTTGTAGGTACATAGTAGGTGTGTATGTTTACGCAGTATATGAGATGCTTTCATATAGGCATGCAATGTGTAATAATCACATCATGTAAAATGGGGTATTCATCCTGGGTTGGGTAATTTCTAAGATCTACTTCAACTAGAAAATTTTGACTATCACTCTTTAGAGGTAGGTAATAAAACATGGTAAGGAAGGAATTAAAATGGACAGAAGAAATGTTAGTGCTGAAGACTAAAATTAGCAAAATCTTTCAGACTTAGTATATTATAAATGAGTGCTTTTATAGGGCTCCAGGCAGACATCACATATACCATTCCAGTCAATTCTAGAATTGAGATTATGATTGCAATCAAAAGCCTACCTGATCAAAATGTCCTTCCCACAATACTAATGGAAATCCTGTATAGATGATTACCAGTGAAAGGTACTGAAATGCAAGCAACTATGATGAAATAACCTACGAGAAAATAAACTTACCCCCATCAAAATCACAAAATACACCTATTTTTTCAGGAACAGTAACATCCAAAGCTTTGACTTTATTATTATGCTTTGCTGCAAATGTGTTTTGTAGCCAGTTGTTGACATGGATACACCAACTAGTGTTTGTCTTTCCCAATTGGTCAAATTTCCCCAACGTTTTGTATGCTACTCCCACACTGTAGGATTTACAATCCTTCTGGGCCTTGACCTCCCAATAATGTTGTCCACTTTCAATAGCAGTGTCTCCTACAAAAGATCAGAAAGGTAGATTTGACTCATCTCTTCCTTATGAGTCACACAGTTTTACCTACCACTCGTCCCAAAAAAAGACACAAAAATTTTTATTCAAGTACTTTTCCTATAAGAATAATCATGTTAACACACAGACATTAAATGCTGAGTACCTGCTCTAACTTTACCTTTACGTTTAGTACTATTCTTGAATATAAAACGCTTCAGAGGTTTTCTTCCTTACTATCCCCCCTCCCGGCTTATATATAAAGATGTGGGAACACTACGTAAGCTGAAGTAGAGTTTTAAAAGTATCAATAATAATAAGACAATCTGAAAACTCCCCAAAGTAATTAGGCTTCAATTGGGAGAAATTTCTTGCAAAGATTTATTCAATATACAGGCAGTCACTTTGAGTGGAAAGTCCACCAGTGTGATTGTGATGCCTTTAATCTGAGATAATGAAAAACAATTATGTTTTGTCCTACCCAGCACTGTGTATGATTCTCCAGTAAAACGATCTCTACTGCCTCTTACTGCTGGTGGCCTGGAGCCTACAGATGTTCGTTTTGGGGATGGTGTACCACTTCTATATAAACAAAAAGAAAAAAGAAAAACAAATATTTTATACTGTAAATGTTTCATAAACTAAAACTAGAAATCATGGAAGGAACCTCTGAAAAGATTTCTAATTATGTTATAGAAATAACACCATTCAATTTGATCTGAACTAGTTAATTAAAGAGCGCTGTCAATTATAAACACTGAAATGTAAGAAGCTATCAATACAAAGCAGGCTGAAAACACTAATGGCATGCAGACTGAGCAAGGCTTATACAAAGAATACACGGCTGAAATAAGAAACAATGCTAAAATGTGACAAGATTTACTAAAGAAAAAAAAGAACTCAAGAAAGATAATGAGTTACAGCTTACATTTTTTTGCAGTTAAATGAAGGCAAAAATAGGTTTCTTCTTATAATCCTGACTAAATAACTCTTTTTATAAGCAGTGAGTATTTTTGCTCTGAATCTTACCTTCTTAAAAATAGAAATGGCGGCCAGGCACGGTGGCTCACACCTGTAATCCCAGCACTTTGGGAGGCGCCAAGGCAGGAGGATCACCTGAGGTCGGGAGTTCGAGACGAGCCTGACTAACGTGGAGAAACCCCATCTCTACTAAAAATACAAAATTAGTAGGGCGTGGTGGCACATGCCTGTAATCCCAGCTACTCGGGAGGCTGAGGCAGGAGAATCGCTTGAACCCAGGAGTCAGAGGTTGCGGGTGAGCCATGATTGCACCATTGCACTCCAGCCTAGGCAACAAGAGCAAAACTCTGTCTTAAAAAAAAAGGGACGGGGGGGCTGCACGCGGTGGCTCATGCTTCTAATCTCAGCAATTTGAGAGGCCAAGACAGGCGGATCTCGAAGTCTGGAGTTCGAGACCAGCCTGGGCAACACAGTGAAACCCCGTTTCTACTAAAAATACAAAAATTAGCTGGGTGTGGTTGTGGGTGCCTGTAATCCCAGCTACTCGGGAGGCTGAGGCAGGAGAATTGCCTGAACCCAGGAAGCAGAGGTTGTAGTGAGCCGAGATGGCGCCACTGCACTCCAGCCTGGGCAACAGGGCTAGACGCCATCTCAAAAAAAAAAAAAAAAAAAAAAAAGATGGAAATGGCAATTATCCAAATCCTTGCACAGGATAATATCAAGTATTATCAAGCATTTCTCCTACTCAAATAGACAAGATCCACCTTGACTTCCTCTTATATCAAATTATATGATATATGGAAAACTGGAGTATTGGGATGTTTACTAACATTCAAAAACTCAAAACAGATTCAGTCCCAAAGATGTTTTCAAAAACATTTTAATTATATTGAATTACTGCATTTAACAAAAGATTTTTTGGTCAAGATTATCCTAAAAGTATTTGGGGGATATGGGGATAACTATATTCTCACCACTAGTTAGAAATAAAAACACTTTTTTCTAACATAGCACTAGAAATTTTCTTCCTAAGAAAAGATCAACTGAGTAGATTTTAATATAAGCTACCAATACTAGACTAGAAATCCCTGATGGCAAAGCAAGAATACAGATAAAACTTAAAGTCATTTCATATGATTCATTTCATATGACTCAGTGACTTCATTCTGCATTATTTAAATGTCTTGCTGTCAGAAATCAGACTTATTAGACAATTTCAAAGAACTCAGGACCACTTCAACTGTCTCCTTTTTAGTGTATAATATTAAGTAGCAAAAGTGTAAGTCTAGAACTACAACACTCACATGACTTAGTTTAATTCTTCCCAAGGGATTTCAAAGGTCCTTTGTGTAAAGATGTTTCTTTAAAAAGACAACTAAAAACTGACTATAAGTTCTGTTTGAACAGATAGCATGAGCAAAGCTGAATGTGGATAGGTAGATTAAAATTTCTGTGAAACTTGTGCTAAGGTAGGCAGTAGTTTCTTGCTATTGGGTACGGGGACAGCAAAACAGAACGTGAGGGGGGAAAATTCCAGAATAGTTGTTGAGATCTCCAAAATGAAGGATAGAAACAAATAAAAATTATTAAACATTTATACTTTTTATTCTGAATACCAAAAATATATGTTTTCACTTCTTCAAGGTTTGAGATGAACATGTATTCTAAGCTGATCTTATACAATACTTGTAAGAGTCATTAACTAGTATAGTAAGAAAGTAAAACTGCAAACATTGTCAACTGATAACTCAGGAAAAAAGAACTGTATCATAATTTTCTTTCTGATTCATTTTATACAAGCTGATAGAGAATGTTAAAAGCCCGATCACAAAAGGTCTGTATGTTTTCAAAAGCTTTATCTTAAGCTCAGGAGAAAAGATAACATTACATTTGCCTCAAAGTTTAAAAAAATAGTACATGCAGCTCTATTTTCCTGATCTTGTGAGGGGCAAAGACTCTTGAAATCAATGGTGTTTAAACCATGTGCTGAACTCAAGGGAATCCACAGATGCCACAGAGGTACTCTGGGAAGAAGCCAGATTTAGGGCTTCCTCCCTCCTTTAACCAGCTATACTTTTCTCTTTTTGGATCAGGCTTCTGGAAACATTTCATGAAAGAAACCATGCTGTTGCTTTTCTTAAAAAGAGGTGTGAAAAAACAATGTTTTAGATGCAACATTAAAAGAAGACATGAAAAGGAAGAGGGCGAAAGTAAAATTGTTTCAACACGGTATATAAATTATAACAAAAAAGCTTTTAGGTCTCCAGAACACCTATATAATAAAAGAACTTCCTGTGGTTGACAGTTATTCTCCAAAAGTTCATGTGACATTATCTGAAATGAAAGTACATTCTCCCAGAAAAAATGAGTGCAGAGGTCACCAAATATTACCCAATTCATCAAGTCACCAATTCATAAATTGACTGCACATTAATCTTCCTCCACCCAAGTTATTCAACAGCAAATATTGGTAACTATACAAAAATGAACACAGTTTTAATTAATCACGTCAGTATTTGTAAAAATTACTTTTGTAACTAGAGAAGGAAGATGGGATACAATAACCTGAGAACACTAGCTCTTCATTATATCTAACTTCACTTTAAGCCCCAGTGCTTTTTAGTATTGCTAGTACTATCTTACCATTAACAATCATGACTATGGTTGCTATTCAGCTAAGAAACAGAGCAAAGAAAGTCAACAAGATTTTGTTTTGGGTAACTAGGTAAGAATGAAATGAAAGGAGAGGAGAGGTTAAAGTAAATGTGTAATCAGGAGTGAGGAGGAATTAAATGAACCAAACCAGTGGTTCTTCAACCCAGCTGCACATCAGAATCACTTGGGGACCTTTTAAAAATGCAAATTACCAGGACTTACCATAAACTACTAAATCAGATACTGGAGGGTAGGCTTGAGAAACACATGTCTGGTTTTTAAATTAAGAATTTCAGGATTTTGCTGTTCATCTGGGCTAGGAGCCACTGAGGTAAAACAAAGCAAAACTCCTCTATCAAGGAGTAGGGATTAAAAGGGTGATGAAAAGACAGGTTTTACAAATCTATCATACGGCATGCTTAGCGCTTATTGGTTACGGCAAGTGAGGAACTTGGCTATGGAGTAGCTGAGGGAAGGGAACTAACTGTTGCTAGGAACCACATCTCATCTCTGTATCCTCAGTACAGAGTAGGTGTACAATATCTGACTAGAATGAGCTCAGCTGAGTAGAGTATGTGATACTATCAATTAAGGAACACCTGTATCTTCCTGAGCCAAAGTACTAAATTGAAAAAACAAAGGCCTTTGGCATTTTGTAATAAATCAATGATTGTCAACTGAAAAGGCACAGCAGATTCAGAAACAATCAGGAAACTTTTTCAAAATACACTGATAGTTTGCCTCCCCAACTGGTGGTCAGAGTGTCTGCTGAGAGGAAACATGCATTCTGAAAAATATTTCCCAAGTAACTCAGGGCAACAAATAGAAAGTGAACGTCATACAAATAAAGAGAAAAATTTCACTTAGCACTGCTTCAAAATGTATTAAGAGCTCTTTTGATAACAGAAAAACAATTTTTAAAAATTTGTAACTTACCAGTAGTAAAGAAATAAAGGGAAGCATGGAGAAAAGAAAAACAGACATAACTATTGACATTGGCAGTTTAATTTCAGAGAAAAGTTAAGTAAGGAAAACTCTTCCATTGCAGCATTCCAGACTTCCAATCCTAAGTCACTTTTGCAAGAAACAACTTATAATAAGTTTTATGTCAAGCATGATCTCCTCCCATCCCCTCCCTCACCCCACTTCCCTAAAGGACACCCTGACCACTTAACTATCTGAATTTAAGTAAGCCTCTTCAGCTACCTCTAGTCTGGACTGTTTTACCAGCTTCCCAAATAATTTCTTTACTGTCCAATTCATCTTTTTCATTATTACAAGATAAAGCTTACTCTGATTCCTCTATTTAAAAATCATCATTTACTTCTATACTACTTACAAACGACTTAGCATGACATTCTGGTTCTTGATTTAGTCCTAATCTGCCTTTCTAGCCTTCTAACTCCTAGAGAGCACTATATAGCTAAATATACCAGTCAAAATGTTGTTTAAACTCACACCATCTGCTTCAGTGCCTTTGCTATGGCTGTTCCGCCTTTCACTGCAAGTCTAACAACCATACATTTTCCCACTTGCTCAAGAACCGGCCTAAATACCACTTCTTTAATGAAAGTCCCCCAAATTCTAACAGGTTAAATAACCTGTCTCAGGACTCTTGCTCCAGACCCAAATCCTGTGTGTGATTTTTTTTCTCTTTTTTTTTTAATATTATTATACTTAAAGTTCTGGGGTACATGTGCAGAATGTGCAGTTTTGTTACATAGGTATACATGTGTCATGGTGGTTTGCTGCACTCATCAACCGGTCACCTACCTTAGGAATTTCTCCTAATGCTATTCCACCTCTAGACCCCCACCCCGACAGGCCCCATGTGTGATGTTCCCCTCTCTGTGTCCACGCGTTCTCATTGTTCAACTCCCACTTATGAGTGAGAACACGTGGCGTTTGGTTTTCTGTTCTTGTCATAGTTTCTGAGAATGATGGTTTCCAGCTTCATCAGTGTCCCTGCAAAGGACATGAACTCATCCTTTTTTATGGCTGTGTAGTATTCCATGGTGTATATGTGCCACATTTTCTTTATCCAGTCTATCATTGATGGACATCTGAATTGGTTCCAAGGCTTTCTGTTGTGAATAGTGACCCGATAAACATATGTGTGCATGTGACTTTATAGTAGAAGGATTTATAAATCCTTTGGGTATATACCCAGTAATGGGATTGCTGGGTCAAATGATATTTCTAGTTCTAGATCCTTGAGGAATCGCCACACTGTCTTCAACAATGGTTGAACTAATTAATTTACACTCCCACCAACAGTGTAGAACAGTTCCTATTTCTCCACATCCTCTCCAGCATCTGTTGTTTCCTGACTTTTTCATGATCGCCATTCTAACTGGCGTGAGATGGTATCTCATGGTGGTTTTGATTTGCATTTCTCTAATGACCAGTGATGATGAGCATTTTTTTTAATATCTTTGTTAGCATATGTTTGATAAGTGTCTGTTCATATCCTTTGCCCACTTTTCGATGGGGTTGTTTTTTTCTTGTAAATTTGGTTAAGTTCTTTGTAGATTCTGGATATTAGCCCTTTGTCAGATGGATAGATTGCAAAAATTTTCTCCCATTCTGTAGGTTGCCTGTTCACTCTGATGACAGTTTCTTTTGCTGTGCAGAAGCTCTTTAGTTTAATTAGATTCCATTTGTCAATTCTGGCTTTTGTTGCCATTGCTTTTGGTATTTTAGACATGAAGTCTTTGCCCATGCTTATGTCCTGAATGGTATTGCCTAGGATTTCTTCCAGGATTTTTATGGTTTTAGGTCTTATCTTTAAGTCTTTAATCCATCTTGAGTTGATTTTTGTGTAAGGTGTAAGGAAGGGGTCCAGTTTCAGTTTTCTGCATAGCTAGCCAGTTCTCCCAACACCATTTATTAAATAGGGAATCTTTTCCCCATTGCTTGTTTGTGTCAGGTTTGTCAAAGATGAGATGGTTGTAGATGTGTGGTTTTATTTCTTAGGTCTCTGTTCTCTTCCATTGGTCTATGTATCTGTTTTGGTACCAGTGCCATGCTGTTTTGGTTACTGTAGCCTTGTAGTATAGTTTGAAGTCAGGTAGCATGATGCCTCTAGCTTTGTTCTTTTTGCTTAAGATTGTCTTCTCTATGCGGGCGGTTCCATATGAAGTTTAAAGTAGCTTTTTCCAATTCTGTGAAGAAAGTCAATGGTAGCTTGATGGGAATAGCGTTGAATCTATAAATTACTTTGAGCAGTATGGCCATTTTCACGATATTGATTATTCCTATCCATGAGCATGGAATGTTTTTCCATTTGTTTGTGTCCTCCCTTATTTCCTTGAGTAGTGGTTTGTAGTTCTCCTTGAAGATGTCCTTCACATCCCTTGTAAGTTGTATTCCTACGTATTCTCTTTGTAGCAATTGTGAATAAGAGTTCACTCATGATTTGGCTCTCTGTTTGCCTGTCATTGGGGTATAGGAATGTTTGTGATTTTTGCATATTGATTTTGTATCCTGAGACTTTGCTGAAGTTGCTTATAAGCTTAAGGAGATTTTGGGCTGAAAAGATGGGGTTTTCTAAATATACAATCATGTCATCTGCAAACAGAGACAATTTGACTTCCTCTCTTCCTATTTGAATACGCTTTATTTCTTTCTCTTGCCTGATTGCCCTGGTCAGAACTTTCAATACTATGTTGAGTAGGAGTGGTGAGAGAGGGCATCCTTGTCTTGTGCTGGTTTTCTTTTCTTTTTTTTTTTTGATAAGAATATTTTTATTGTATTATTAAATACCATGTCATCTTTTCCCCCCACTGTTACAAATTATAGATACTACGTGAATGATACATAATTTATATTTTACGGCTTGCCAGTATGATGTATTTACACATGCAGTTAGTACCAATATCATGCTACATTTCCTCAGGAGATGCCCATTCAAAACAAAATGTGAGCAGCTTATCTACTGTAAGAAAATACTTCTAGAGGGTGGAATGTATACCAACCTGGACCTGCAAGTTCAGTATTAACAATATTAGATTTAACTTAGACTCCTGGGTTAGGTTCCTTTTTCTTTTTTAAATAGTACTCATAATTTGAACAACATATTTATATCAGAAAATTTTCCTTCTTTTCTTCCCCATCTTCTTTTTGGTGCTTAAAAAAGAACATAGAAACACCAGGATCTAGCAGCCAATAATAAAAGGCCACAATCTGAAAACAAATGGCATTTAACAGTGATACCACTTGAAATGCAAAACATTAGAAAAATACTTGGAAGCTAAACATAAAAGTTCAGCACAGTGATTTTTCTAGTTATTGGATATAACATGGCATCACCTGCACAGCCAAGAAATGAGACATTGCTTTGGGAAGAAGAGTTAATACTAAAATGATTTCAGTTGGAATTTGAGATGCTAAAGACCATTTATTTTGAGTGTTTTATTGTCATAACAAATAATCTGTACACATTCTGTGTATTAACAGGTACATCTTTTGCTGTAACTTTACAAATGCTTAAATGTAAAATTTTACATTTGTAAAAAATTATATATTTATTGAACCATAAAGTTGCAATGGAGCACAATAAATAATGAGACTAATTGTCCAATTGTATTTTGGCTCACAGTTAACCATGAAATTAAAGATAAAACTACTTAGACATAATTATCTAGGAAGGTAAAGGGTGTAGAATAAAACTCCCCCTGCCCTCAAAATATGGCAGCTTGGATTGTGGGAAAAAAATGAAACAATAAATAACTTAAATCTTTAATATTAAGCTACAAATTATTTAAAATTATTTAAATCCAGTGTTTTCTCAAATAAATGTACAGGAAGAAACATGCATGTTATGGCAGACATGAAGGCCTGAAAGGGTTAACCCTATGTTCATGCTAAGGTGGCTACTGCTGATCACTGCTGGGCTGCTTGTCTCCTTAGGATTTATTGGCTGAGCCAGAGGAACGACGCAGCTTCATGGACATGCGGCTTTTGCTAGTTCGAGGAGACATTGGAGAGGCCAGGTCAGCCCCATCTACCTGCGCTGCTGTGGGAGTTTCACTGGGTAGAATCTCTGGGTAGGAGCCTTCAGATAAACAGAACTGATATTTAATGATCGGCATCAGATGGTAAATGGTGGTAGGGAGCTGGAGAAAAAACCTGTGCTGCAAAATCTTCAAATGTTGTTGGTTCTAAGTGGTGCTGGACAATTGTTTGCAGGTATCGTGCTCTCTCCTCATAGAAGTTTTGATACAATGGAATCAGAGATTTCAGAGCACGGCTTGCATTTATAGCTGTTGCTCTAACCATAATGGGTAGAACCTTTCCATTCACAATAGCACCATCAAAAAGGGGACCAAAGAAGGGAACCTCTGGTTTTCTCATTATCTGAATACTGAACATGTGATTTTTCATTGGATATATTACAATAAGGACATCACCAAATTCTGTGGGAATAATTCCTCTCCTGTAGTCTCTAGTATGCTCTGACCAAACAATGTGCACTTCATCATTTCCCAAATGTCTCAATTTTTTGGTCAAAGAATCATCAGAATCAGAAGGCATTCTTGTTGACATGTGAAATATTACTTCTACTGTAGAGGTAGCAAAATATGGAGTGGTCAATCCAGTGCTTTTGTTTTTTTGTAGTCCTCCCATAAAACCACAATGGTTTGTAAGATTTACCTCCAAACCAAGACCAGCTACAAAATCTTCATATGCTTGACTTCCTCCTGTATTGGTGAGAATGGAGTGTTTGTCTTCTTGTCCTTCAGCAACATAAAATACTGCAATCTTGTGTGTCTCTCGGCACTGCCTTGAATCCAAGTTCCTAAGTTCTCTAAGTAGCTTTTCATTTTTCTTCAGGAGATGAAAGCTCCTCCGTTTGTCCCAGGAATTCATTCCCAATATACTAAGAAGCAATCTGCAATAATAAAATGCTGACTGAGGTTTTTGAGGTATTGGTTCATCTTGTTCCACAGCTTTCATGTTTAAGTCATTAAAGTGCTTCTCAACAAATTCTTTTTCTTCTGTATGTTGCTTAAGGATAGCATTAATAACATCACTTTCTTGTTTTTCAGAAATGCACACAGGTTGTGGAGCAGGAATATTAAGTGAGATTCCAGTTCTCTGTAAGCATTCAGGACTAGTAACACCCAAATACTGCAAGAGTTCATCAAGAGCATCTTCTTCATCTCTTATTGTATCCCAAGTTGGTACAGTTTCTCTAAATCTTTTAAACTGGAAAGTCCATCTTTTACGGTTATATCTTCTAAGCATTCATTAGATGTCGGAGGCTCTTCTGGCTTCTCTTGGTGAGACAATGAAAGCATGAAAGATGTAGGTTCTGACAAGCCACTTACAGGAGGTGGGCCATACAGTATAGCAGAATCCCATGAATATTTTCCAGAGAGATCACGTACTATGATTCTGACATTTGAATTGGCTGATGCAAGGCCAGCAGATAAACCTCCTCCAGGCATATTCTCTTCTGATCTGATCTGGATACAGGACACTAAGGTTGTATTATTAACACAAAGAACTGGATATTTGGACTCTCAAAGAGTTCAGGAGAAAGTTCAGTACTTTCACTGTAATGATTGTCGTGATTTTCACACACCTGACTTGTTAGCATAGCAGGACCACCGCTCATTGGATAATGGCCCAGGTGATTTACCAGATGTGTAATAACAGTGCGGGCTGCTATAGAGATTAATCCATGCTGCATTTGAGTTTTCACTTCTGTTACTGGCTGGAGTTTAGAAGATCGTTCTGAGTCAGGAGAGCGCAGAGGCTCAGGCTCTTTCAGACTTTCCAAATGCATAAAAGGATCATAATCTACAGATGCCAAATCAGAGAGGCTCATGGGAAAATACCTTGGATTGCTAAAACACTGAGCTCCATAAACACACCCATGTAAAACCTTATAAATGCAATTGAGAACAGATTTTTCTGTTTTATCGCTTTCTGCTCCCGTAGCATGAAATGGTTGGAGCAGTGTCTTTAGAGGTAAGGCCATGATCCAGTCCAGAAGGCAGAGAAGTAAAGATACTACCAACCTCTTGTCCATTTCATAAGATGAAGCCTCTGTACTTGGTAAAAGATGGGTGATGGTAGCTATTAGGATCTGAATAATTTTCAAGGGAGAATCAGGCTGGTAAATCTGAAGTCTAGGTACATAATGAACCAGCATGTGAAGCATGTTACAAGCTACGTGGGCTACTGTTTTATTAGTAAACTTTAAGGAAACACAAATCACATTCAGAGCTTCCTTAATTTGAGGATGATGAGACTCATGGACTAGTTCTTCACAAATCCAAATACCTAAACTACAAAGTGCTACACATCGTGCAGGACCAGAGGGCTCATCTCTTGCCGAGCTTAATACAGTTTTGATTATAAGTTCCTTAACATCTGTAAACTGAGACACAGCAACATCAGGAATGTTGGGATGAAGAGAAGGCAGTTCACAATATAAGTTGGGAAAGCAAACCAAAGATCCCAGAAGAACTTGTGCTTCTACTCTTGGTGCATTGAGAAAAGCTGAAGAAGCCACTCTACCAGCTGCTACAATAAAATCCATAATAAGCATTGTGGCACCAGGCAAACCAAGTGAAAAAAATTGAGGTGAGCAGTGTTTGATGATTGTATTGACAATATCCTGGTCAATATGAAGTAATCCACAATGCATTATATTGTAGAAATGTGTTAGAAAATCTCTATTTGGAGAAACATCTTGTCTTCTTTTCATTGTATTACCAATAAGTTTATATGCATGTAATTTACCTTGTTTATATTTATCAGTCAACATGGTTGCCTTAAAAAGCCAAGGTGTAAGAATTCTCAGTGGAGGAATTAAAACTGGTGGAGAAGGGGAGGTCAGGTTATCAGCTGAAATGCCGAGGTTATCTCTAATCTTAGCTAGATTCTGCCAAAGTTCACAGAGGTAATCAAAAACTTGAGCATGTATTTCAGGATCCATGATTGAATTTACATCTCCCAAAATGCCTAGCATTCTTCGCCACATTACAGTAGCAACATCAGCATGCCATCCAGTCAGAGTACCTCCTGCCATCACACTACAACATTCTGATGGAAATTCACTAATTTCTAGATCATCTGGTGTCTGAAGAACAGCGTGGTGGAGCTTCTCATCGAGCTGCAGATCCTTCTGTTCCATGTGATCTATATTCAATGTAGAAGGGGAAGGAGTCTGTGACCTGGAGCACAGAGGTGAGTGGACTGGGGAAGCACTTTCTGAACCAGTAATAGTTGCAACTTCAGCAGAGAAAGCTTGCTGATTAAGACTGCTTGTTTCAGAATCTATATGAAGAGTAGTTAGACTAGCCACTTCCTGCTCTTCAGCACTCTGATGATGGCCAGAACCTGAATCCACATCAGCAGAGGACGTAACCCCAGTGTCGGCTCCAAAGCCAAAATTGTCAAATTTTTGGCCATCATATTGGAAAGCGCTGAAAGAATCCGAATGACTATCTGAGCTGATAAGATCACTGCTCCCTGCACTGGCAGGAGAAGTCCATTCTGAGGGCACACCTGGGTCATCAATAGGGCGCATCTGGTTCTGCTTGTTTAGAATATCAGGGAGGTCTTTGGGAATTTCCAGGCTGCCTGGACTACTTCCTCTTCTTGTCATAGTCGAGGCATTACCACTTCGAAGTCATTCTGCTATAAACTCATCCATCAGATCAGGAACATTAGCACTGCTGCTGCCAATATCACTATTAAGAGGAGGCAGTTTTTGGCTCATGTCCTCTTTATTGACTTTGGCTCGTTCAACAGTGAATGGTTCCAAGATGTCAGAAGTGCTGCTACTTCAAGGCAATGGCTGCTCCTCATTCAAAGCACCAAAAACTTCATTTCCAGTTTCTTCACTTTGTGAAAAATGTCTGACTCTAGTTGAGCGGGGAAGTATTTGAGCATCATCAATATCGACAGTTTTTTGCCGTACTATACTCCTCGCCTTTTCGGTTCCTGGAGAACCAGTGGTTGTTGCACTCCTCTGTCTCATTGGGGCTTGGCCAGGCTGATCACGACTCCATCCTCTAGAAAATGACTTGTCAACTGAAACTTTCTGAAATTCATGTCCAACTCCTTTCCCTTTGTGCTTTTTTTGTTTCTGTTCACTCAGCTTATCCAATGGTAAATCACTGAGATCCAAACTATATAAATTCCTAGCTAAAACTTTAGTTAATGTCTCCATAGTCAGTGACCACTCAGTGGCCAACTCTTCCCAATAGGTCAACGATGACAATACTGACAGTAAGTCATCCCAAAGTTCTCGGGAGATGTACACATTTAGGTTTGCTTTGATCCAGGCAACTATAAGGGTCTGGAAAAGTGGTCCTGCAAGTCGACCTGCCAAGGTCATATTTTTTTTCCCTTGGAACTGTAGAAAAGCTTGTGATGGCATCTTCAGTACAGATTCCGTGACTCTGAGCAACACAAGCAGCATGTGTTCCCAAGTCTTTTTGTCCATTGATACTTGTACAACCATGTACCGATAAATGTTAAGAATGCGTTTACACATATCTGTGTGTTCATCCAGAAGATTTTTTATTTCATTTGCAGGTTCAAGAAGAAATATATTTGATGAGTTTATAATAAACACCTGCAAAACTGCCTGGGTACCAGCTCGTATGTTTTGTTCTGTGGCTTCTTCAGAGGTGTTATGAAGAGCACCTTGGTAGGAGCCGTTTTTTGCCCAACTGGAATTTCGAACATGATCAGCAGTATTGGTCCCATTTTCCTCTTCTCTTTTTTCTCCTTCTTCCATTGAAATATCATGGTCTGTGACATTTTCAATGCAAGGGAGGTCTGAAGAAGTGATCACAATTTCTTCAGGCTCTTGCATGAACAAAGGTTTTTCCTCTTGTTGGATCCATTCTTGATATACTTTTACCACTTTTCTCATAGCTGCTGCTTCACAAATTGGTAATAAAAATGCCTGACGAAATATCTCTGTCACAAAGTTTACATTACTCCTTTTAGAAGAAAAAACTCTGCGAACTATTTCAATGTCTGTGAGATGTTCTTCATCAATACTACAGAGACTAGATGAGCTAGGTTCTCGCTCCGTGAGAGTGCTTGTATTGGAATGAGACTGTTCGGGTTCTGTAGTTCTGTCTGCTTTATCAGCATTATCATTTTTGCTTTCTTCTCTGGATACTAAACTAGCAGCTGCTCTCTGAATATTCTTTGGCAAGACTTCACCTTCCATCCCAGGAATATGAGGTCCTGTATGTGGTTTTGGCTCCAGCCAGAAAGAAACCAGCCAACGAATGACAATAACACGAGCCTTAATGAAAGGCTCCTTTGTACAATAGATTGCTTCATTGGTTTCAGCATCTTTCTTTATCATGACATAATGTGGCTTTGGTCTCATCTGCGGGATGTCAAGTATAGGATGATATAAACTGTTTTCCTTACAGATGTTTGGAAAAATATAAGGCAAGTAATATTTCTTAAAATGTGAAAACAAAAATGAAAATCCCCTTTCTTGGTTTTCTTTGTTCTTCCATTCTAAACTTTTTACCTGAATGACTATGTATTTTAGAAGTGCTTCAAGAAAATAGCTTGTGAGATCTTCTTGCCCTTTATCTCCTGATTGTGGGGGGACAAGAGGAGTGATTTCTTCTATAGTGACTTGAGTTTCTTAAAGGTTGAGTGGAGGATTAATGAGATTATCTAAAGTTCGAGGTCCATGTTCAGACTGTGGTGCTGAAAATCCAGGGATTAAGCATGAAAACATCCAGAGCTGTTCTTTGCTACAGTTATTCTGAAGAGCTTGCAACCATAGTAAGAAAAGACGAACACCTTCCCGCCTAATCTTTAAGGAGTCTCCTGTGTGAAGTAGCTTCTTTAAATCAATCCAATATTATGAAACTGCCATGGCTGATGAATTCTTTCTGGAAGAAGTTGTAAAATTTTCTCAAAAATAAAAAGTATAGCATCCAGTTCCTCTCTTTGAGACTTGTGACCTTTCTGTTTAAGACTAGCTTCGATAGTCACAAAATTTTCAAAGAACACATAGTATATATGTAAAAAATGTTGTCGAAAAACTGTTTAAGATCAATAGATTCTGCATTCTTTTTTTCACTAAATAAACATCACTTTCCAAAACAAATACGCATCAGGAAGACAGCTCGAGATAAACTCTGAACTAGGATTCAGGCATCTGGATGAATGCATCTTCTTCAGCCAGTTCCACCATTAACTCGATGACGATGCGCAGGTGCTTGAGGCGAGTCAGTGCGTCCTTCTTGGTGTCTAGCACCTTCTGGGTGGACTTCTTCACGTCCCCGTGCGGCTTCTTGGAGAACATCCTGCCGCTGCCACTGCCACTGCCACTGCCACTGCCACAGCCGGCTCCCAGCGGCAGAAAGTGGAGGGAGTGGACGGGGAGGAGACTAGCCAGAGAGGCTCATTAGCTCCCCAGCCTTGCGGGCCAGGGCAGAGCCGACTCCTCCCCGATCCAGGCCAGGGCCGCCACCTCCACCCGCCTCGCGCCGCGGCTCCAAGGCACCTTCGGCCCCAGCTCCAATATGGCGGATCCCTCTCCCGGCCCTGCACGGAGCGAGGTAGACCCGGGCTGGCCGCCTGCCGCCGCCGCTCGTCTCCAGCGGCCGCCGCTCGCCGCCACAGGCCGGGGCCCCGGATCCAGAGCCACGAAGGTGGAGCTCTCGGAGGCAGCAGCACAACTCTCTCCCTCTGTGCTGGTTTTCAAAGTGAATGCTTCCAGTTTTTGCCCATTCAGTATGATACTGGCTGTGGGTTTGCATAAACAGCTCTTATTATTTTGAGATACATTCCATCGATACCTAGTTTATTGAGAGTTTTTAGCATGAAGGGGAGTTGAATTTTGTCAAAGGCCTTTTCTGCATCTATTGAGATAATCATGTGGTTTTTGTCATTGGATCTGTTTATGTGATGGATTATATTTATTGATTTCTATATGTTGAACCAGCCTTGCATCCTAAGGATGAAGCCGACTTGATTGTGGTGGATAGCTTTTTGATGTGCTGCTGGGTTCGGTTTGCCAGTATTTTATTGAGGATTTTCGCATCAATGTTCATCAGGGATATTGGCCTGAAATTTTTTTTTGTTGTGTCTCTGCCAGGTTTTGGTATCAGGATGATGCTGGCCTGATAAAATGAGTTAGGGAGGAGTTTGTCTTTTTTTATTGTTTGGAATAGTTTCAGAAGGAATGACACCAGCTCCTCTTTGTACCTCTGGTAGAATTTGGCTGTGAGTCTGTCTGGTCCTGGACTTTTTTTGGTTGCTAGGCTATTAATTACTGCCTCAATTTCAGAATTTGTTATTGGTCTATTCAGGGATTCGACTTCTTCCTGGTTTAGACTTGGGAGGGTGTATGTGTCCAGGAATTGATCCATTCTAGATTTTCTAGTTTATTTGCATAGAGGTGTTTATAATATTCTCTGATGGTAGTTTGTATTTCTGTGGGATCAATGGTGATATCCCCTATATCATTTTTTATTGCATCTATTTGATTCTTCTCTCTTTTTTTCTTTATTAGTCGGGCTAGTGGTCTATTTTGTTGATCTTTTCAAAAAACCAGCTCCTGGATTCACTGATTTTTTTAAAGGTTTTTAGTGTCTCTATCTCCTTCAGTTCTGCTCTGATCTTAGTTATTTCTTGTCTTCTGCTAGCTTTTGAATTTGTTTGCTGTTGCTTCTCTAGTTCTTTTCATTTTCATGTCAGTATGTCAATTTTAGATCTTTCCTGCTTTCTCTTGTGGGCATTTAGTGCTATAAATTTCCCTCTACACACTGCTTTGAATGTGTCCCAGAGATTCTAGTACATTGTGTCTTTGTTCTCATTGGTTTCAAAGAACATCTTTATTTCTGCCTTCATTTCGTTATTTACCCAGTAGTCATTCAGGAGCAGGTTGTTCAGTTTCCACATAGTTGTGTGGTTTTAAGTGAGTTTCTTAATCTTCAGTTCTAATTTGATTGCACTGTGGTCTGAGAGACTGACTGTTATGATTTCCATTCTTTTGCATTTGCTGAGGAGTGTTTTACTTCCAATTATGTGGTCAATTTTAGAATAAGTGTGACGAGGTGCTGAGAAGAATGTATATTCTGTTGATTTCGGGTGGAGAGTTCTATAGATGTCTATTACGTCCGCTTGATCCAGAGCTGAGTTCAAGTCCTGAATATCCTTGTTAATTTTCTGTCTCATTGATCTGTCTAATATTGACAGTGGGATGTTAAAGTCTCCCACTATTACTGTATGGGAGTCTAATTCTCTTTGTTGGTCTCTAAGAACTTGCTTTATGAATCTGGGTGCTCCTGTGTTGGGTGCATATATATTTAGGATAGTTAGCTCTTCTTGATGCATTGATCCCTTTACCATTATGTAATGCCCTTCTTTGTCTCTTTTGATCTTTGTTGGTTTAAAGTCTGTTTTATCAAAGATTAGGGTTGCAACTCCTGCTTTTTTCTGCTTTCCATTTGCTTCGTAAATATTCCTCCATCCCTTTATTTTGAGCCTATGTTTGTCTTTGCATGTGAGATGGGTCTCCTGAATATAGCATACTGATGGGTCTTGACTCTTTATCCAGTTTGCCAGTCTGTGTCTTTTAATTGGGGCACTTAGCCCGTTTACATTTAAGGTTAATATTGTTGTGTGTGAACTTGATCCTGTCATTATAATGCTAGCTGGTTATTTTGCCTATTAGTTGATGCAGTTTCGTCATAGTGTCGATAGTCTTTACAATTTGGTATGTTTTTGCAGTGGCTGGTACCAATGGTTCTTTCCATGTTTAGTGCTTCCTTCATGAGCTCTTGTAAGGCAGGCCTGGTGCTGACAAAATCTCTCAGCATTTGCTTGTCTGTAAAGGATTTTATTTTTCCTTCACTTATGAAGCTTAGTTTGGCTGGATATGAAATTCTGGGTTGAAAATTCTTTTCTTTAAGAATGTTAAATATTGGCCCCCACTCTCTTCTGGCTTGTGGGGTTTCTGCAGAGAGATCTGCTGTTAGTCTGATGGGCTTCCCTTTGTGGGTAATCCAACCTTTCTCTCTGGCTGCCCTTCATTTCAACCTAGGTGGATCTGACAATTAGGTTTCTTGGGGTTGCTCTTCTTGAGGAGTATGTTTGTGGTGCTCTCTGTATTTCTTGAATTTGAATGTTGGCCTGTCTTGCTAGGTTGGGGAAGTTCTCCTCGATAATACCCTGAAGAGTGTTTCCAACTTGGTTCCATTCTCCCCATCACTTTCAGGTACACCAATCAAATGTAGATTTGGTCTTTTCACATAGTCCCATATTTCTTGGAGCCTTTGTTCATTCCCTATTATTCTTTTTTCTCTAATCTTGTCTTCTCGCTTTATTTCATTAAGTTGATCTTCAATGTCTGATATCCTTTCTTCCACTTGATTGATACAGCTATTGATACTTTTGTTTGCTTCACGAAGTTCTCGTGCTGTGTTTTTCAGCTCCATCGGGTCATTTATATTCTTCTCTAAACTGGTTATTCTAGTTAGCAATTCATCTAACCTTTTTTCAAGGTTCTTAGCTTCCTTGCATTAGGTTAGAACATGCTCCTTTAGTTTGGAGGAGTTTGTTATTACCCACCTTCTGAAGCCTACTTCTGTCAATTCGTCAAACTCATTCTCCATCCAGGTTTGTTCCCTTGCTGGCAAGGAGCTGTGATCCTTTGGAGGACAACAGGCATTCTGGCTTTTGGAATTTTCAGCCTTTTTGCGCTGGTTTCTCCCCATCTTTGTGGATGTGTCTACCTTCTGTATTTGATGTTGGTGACCTTCGGATGGGGTCTTTGAGTGGATGTGCTATTCCTTTCTGTTTGTTAGTTTTCCTTCTAACAGTCAGGCCCCTCTGCTGCAGGTCTGCTGGAGTTTGCTGGAGGTCCACTCCAGACCCTGTTGGCCTGGGTATCACCAGCGGAGGCTGCACAACAGCAAAGACTGCTGCCTGTTCTTTCCTCTGGAAGCTTCGTCCCAGAGGGGCAACTGCCAGATGCTAGCCAGAGCTTTCCTGTATGAGGTATCTATCGGCACCTACTGGGAGGTGTCTCCTAGTCAGGATTCACGGGGGTCAAGGACCCACTTGAGGAGGCAGTCTGACCCTTAGCAGAGCTTGAACTCTGTGCTTGGAGGTCCGCTGCTTTCTTCAGAGCTGTCAGGCAGGAACGTTTAAGTCGCTAAAGCTGCACCCACAGTTGCCCCTTCCCCCAGGGGCTCTGTCCCAGGGAGATAGGGGTTTTATCTATAAGTCCCTGACTGACGCTGGTGCCTTTTTTTCAGAGATGGCCTGCTCAGAGAGGAGAAATCTGGCAGTCTGGCCACAGTGGCCTTGCTGAGCTGCAGTGGGCTCTACCTAGTTCGAACTTCCCAGCAGCTTTGTTTACACTATGAGGGGAAAACCACCTACTCAAGCCTCAGCAATGGCAGACGCCCCTCCCCCGACCAAGCTATAGCGTCCCAGGTCAGTCTCAGACTGCTGCTGTGCTGGCAGCAAGAATTTCAAGCCAGTGGATTTTAGTTTGCTGGGTTCCATGGGGGTGGGACCCGCCCAGCCAGACCACTTGGCTCCCTGGTTTCAGCATCCCTTTCCAAAGGTGTGAATGGTTCTGTCTCACTGGTGTTCCAGGCGCCACTGGAGTATGGAAAAAAAAAAAAAAACCTTCTGCAGCTAGTTTGGTGTCTGCCTAAACGGCCACCCAGTTTTGTGCCTGAAACCCAGGGCCCTGGTGGGGTAGGCACCAGAAGGGATCTCCTCATCTGCAGGTTGTAAAGACTGTGGGAAAAGTGCAGTATCTGAACCGGAGTGCACCGTTCCTCAGGCTCTGTCCCTCATGGCTTCCCTTGGGTAGGGGAGAAAATTCCCTGACCCCTTGCACTTCCTGGGTGAGACAACACTCTACCCTGCTTCAGCTCGCCCTCCATGGGCTGCACCCACTGTCCAACCAGTCCCAATGAGATGAACCGGGTACCCCAGTTGGAAATGCAGAAATCACCTGCCTTCTGCGTCTATCTTGCTGGGAGCTGCAGACTGGAGCTGTTCCTATTTAGCCATCTTAAAGATCAAATCTGGCACATCTTTCTTCCTAAGAATGCCTGGCGCGTTTTCTTAATTTGGCAAACTACGGTCAGCTCCACATTAGCCACAAACTTCCAGCCAGCAGTCCTTGGGAAATTCTCCTGGAAAGAAGACAGCCGTGCCATCTAGTGACGCGCATGTGCCCTGTATGTGATCTTTCAGGCCCAAGCGTAGGCGGGCGTTGATGAGGCAGGGTGGGGGCACAGGGTAGGGTGAGCTGCCCTTCTCGCACCAGACTTGGTGCACAGCTAGTGCACTGTAGTTTCGAGAGAGAGTTGCAATTCCACTCTTCTCCCCATCATGATCATATACCGTATCTGCAATCCTACCCTAGGCACCTCTATTCAGAGGTCCCCTTACTGGAGGGAGGCCCTAGGCTGAGTTGCTTTTCAGGTGTCTCTGCGTAAAACTGCTTTAGGGCAGAGGTCAGGGGAGGAGTGATGGTCTGAAAACACTTTTCTCCACTCTGTTTTAGTATCTTTCCCATTTTAGCCCCTCACTCCCCACCTTCTTGACTCTCAGGCCCATAAACTGGCAGGAACCTTTTTGTTTGGGGCTTGCTGGCAGTGAGAAGATCCACTACTTGTGATCTGTGTTGATTTACATGACCTTCACCCAGTGCCATTCTGTTGGGAAAAATTGAACACTGGGGTAGTGGATACTCTTTCCTTTGTGGCCTCTTGCTTATACTATCACAGCAAATCAATAAAGGCTTGATTATTACCTTTAGTTTGGCTATCCTACCTAACCACCTCAACATCTGGCAGCTCTGGGCATCTTTCTTCCTCTGAATACCTTTATTCACACTTACAATTCTACATATGTCTACCTTGCATTATTGCTACTTGTACATACATCTCATCTACATAAGTTAGGGCAAATTTCTTGAAAGCAGAGACAGTGTTTATCCCTATAAATCCTATAACATCCAGCAGACATCCTACAGCAAACAAATATTTATGGAAAGAATATATAAATGCATATAACATTCGACAAGTAGCCTATACGTAAAATACTCTTAAAAAGTAGGAAGGGAGAAATAATATAACCTTAAATCATAAATATGTAGTCTACTCATAGACTATTAAATTCAGCATTTTCCAATTTATAATACACTATAAAATCACTTTTACCAATAACAAGTACATAAACTGAAAATAAGAGGAAGATAATTTTGAAAAGAGAACACATTCTGGTTTCCAGTAAAGATATGTAGTATCTTCAAATAAGCACATTATTACTCATGCAAATTGAAACCATTCATCTTTCTGGAACTGTCTTGATAATTTTAGCAATGGCCTTTATTTTTTATCCTTGTTGCTCCTGAAACTGCCTAATTATTATAAAACAGAGAACTCTTCAAACCTGCTGTGTGTCAAATACAAATAAAAGCGAAGCTATAATGTTAGACTAACGAATATTATTCAGTACAACAAGAAAGATGCCAGGTATGAGTAAAAGCAGAAAAATAAATCAGATAAGGGAAAAAAATTCAAGAAAGACTTTAAAGCAGAGCTTATTTTGTTACCATATACAATATAATCCAAATAATATGCAGCACACTACAATGTAAATTCAAAACATAAGCTACCAATACAGTCTACACAGAGCAGTATTTTAGCTTATGAAGGCTGCCGCAATGGCTTCTGCTTATTGGTTAAAAGATAAAATTAAAGTTTTTTTAATCAGCCAAGCTAGATTTTACTAAGTCCTAGAACTAGACAGACATAGATCATCACCTTGTATGTTTCTTCAGTGAAGTAACATGGACACTGTCAGATAAAAACAGGCAACTGTTAAGAAACTGTTTTACAACTTAAATTTAACAGCTTATAATGAAATCAGATTAAAGGCCTGCTGAGGAATTTTTGGGGATTCATTACTGTAACTCACAATGGCATTTATCTTCAGTTTGAGCAAAAATTTCTTCTATTAAAAAAGAAAGAGGATCCCATGTTTTGACTTTATTTAAATAAGTTAGTTATGACAGTAACAAAAGGTCCTTGAACCTGCCTCTTAGGTTCATTGTGTTGCTGATCAGAGGCAAGACCCTAGGGTTGTACCTATTAAACGCTGTCATTTAGTGCAGACCAGACCTGCAGGTAAGATAGGTGATCTATAAGTCTAAAATTCAGGAATTATACTAGAAACTTCTTCTAAGCAATTCAAGTTGCTGTATATATAACTTTAAAGAAATGGAATACTGAAATGAAAATGTGTAAGAGGATTAGGGATGAAACTAAAAAAAAGTAATAAAAAATGTTAATGACCTATTAAACTACTGACAAATAGTATTATATTCTTCACTTTGGTGCTACTAATATACTGTAACTCTCATAGGTATATTGACTAAGAATTTCAATAAAAGTTATTGTTAAATAAGAACCAGTGTACAAGCATTTGTCCATATGGCAGATTTAATGGTCTAGCTTACCTGCCCTTGTTCTCTTTTCCTTTAATTTTACTTTCTTGACCTTTTCCTCCAGTAGGATCCCACTCTACACATGTATCTTCAACTTTCAGGTTCAAATGGGATGAGGAGTTATCCAAATTGAAGTTAAGTGCTATTCAAGATAATATTTAAATATATTTTTAAAATATAGCATATCTCCACTTTCTGAAACACAGCTATCACCACATTATTTTCCTACTCAATCAATTCAATACTGAATACAGAAAATAAAGTTCAAATTCATAATCCTAGCACTTAAAGTTCTCAATAATCAGGCTATAATTTATAATTCTTATCTGATTTCCCATTATTCTTCTCTATATATCCTATACACCAACCAAATACAATGTACTTGCATGGTCACTGACATTTCTCCTGTTCATTCTACTAAAATCTCAATGAGTACACAGTAACCTAAATTTCCTGTTATTAGGATATCAGTTGACTGTTATGACTAAATAGGAAGGGGAACTGGAAGAATTAAGGAGAAGGATAAAATTACATAGTGTAAAAAATTATAGAACCTGGCATACACATTTTCTCTGATACTCTAATATTTAATAATTTCATACCTACACTGTCAGTTTCAAAGTAAGGCAAACATAGAGAAACTGAGGCCGTGATGGCAGAACAAGGAAACTGGCCCAGCTGATAGATAATTTACATGACGAAGAGTACAGAGGGAAAAGAACCACATAAATTTAAAAAAAAACCATAAAACTATGACTTCCAGATTATTTAATATTTTGAGGAATTAACTATACTTTTCACAAGACTTACTCAGAACTGCTTTAGGAATTTAGGAAATCAGTGAAGCAAGGTATAAGCTTCTTTCCTTGGAAACTGAGGGTAAATCATTAGAATGTACTGATTCATGGCTAATCACACCATTCCTTTTATCTTAAAATATAACTCTCGGAATCTCTATCTTGCAAGGTATCAGCTATTACACAGTTACTAACTAATCTGCCTGTTAGTTCTATTTCCCTCCAAAGGTTCAAACTTCTAGTATATATTAAGAAATACAGTATCCCTTTACAGAACCCTATTTCACTTATGGATATTACTTAATTTAGCTAAGGCTTCAGTGTGTCTGTGAACTATGACTCTCTATAGGTTTATTTTGTTTGATGATACATAACTGTTTACCTAATGAATCAATAATCCTTTTATCCCCTACTGTTCTGTAAAGAGCACTTTAATTTCAACTATGCATTGGAGCTATTGTTCATTGTTTTTTATTTATGAAACAACATTCTGAATACAAATCTACTGACCACAGAGCTTCCAGTAAATGTCATACAGTACAAGGAAGTTCACAGCTTTCAACATCTGCATTTAAACAGAAATGAACTTACAGAAAAAAGAGATAATGCAGCAATCATGCAGCTTTTTAGTAAAAACAGAAATAGAATTCCTTAATAGACAGGTTACCAAAAGGTTAGGATTAAGTAAAACTTATACCCTGCATTTCCAAGAATGAACTGCCTTAATAAAGTTAACATCTATATGTGAGCTACTAGGTAATGCATGTGAGAGCTTCTACATTTTTGAGAAAGAATATTGGATTTAACTCTAAGGTGCCACCAATTCTCAACTGCTTGCTAAAATCCTAAGGCTGTTTTTTTAAAAAAGGAAGAAATCCTAAGGCTGTCCCCTAATGTTTGTTATGCTGGAGAGAAGGGCCACCAGCAATACTGGTGTCAAAGGTGGCAAAAAAAAAAAATAGATAGTACCATTGAAAACCACTTAAGACCATACTTATTAAATACTGCAGCATCCAAACAAAAAGGCATGGATTTCAAGCCTAAGGAGTGTCATTTTCGTATCTCTCTTTCTTTGTGGACACTACCCCTTATGGACCTCAGTTAAGTTATAGAGCTCCTCTAATGTAACAGAGATAATACTCTATAGTTAAAAAAAAAAAAAAGACTAGCCTCAAAAGTGAGGTCCTATCTCTTGTATAAGTCCTATAATATAACTAGATACTGGTTCCCGTATCTTTAATAGTCTGTGAAAACAAAGTACCAAAAATCAGAGTACAGATATGTTTCATATGTTTAACTTGTGCGAGTGGCTGCTTTCTTGGTACTATAAAATTATATCATAGCTGCTATCAATTAAAGTTGGAGAATAATTTGTGATTTAGTAATTTAATATCATTTACCTTCACAAGAAAATAACTAATAATATACTCTAAATATTCTGGTGATAAGAACTTATATTACTCATGACTTCTGAGAATTTCAATGCCAGAAGAAATAGTGCTTCATATGTTGGAGGGCAGAAGTAAACAATGTTCACTATTTTCCATATCAAGAACCTTAAGTGGAAGTATATGAAATTTTGGTAGGCTCAACTACTCAATCTCCACCTTTCTTCCTTTCTCTCCAGTTTTTTGTCCATACCCTAATTTCTACTGGTTGGTTGAAAAAGGCTGCAACAAGCCAAATAAATTGGTAAACAACTGTTCAGTGTGTCATTGGTAAAAATGTGGACTTTTCCTCTGCAGCTCTTACTCTCATTAGTAGCCCCACTAATGCTATGGAATAACCCTAGAAAATCTGTGACTCATGGCCATGTAGGAGTCTAACTTTATTCTGGAACTCCCTGAAGGTCAGAATCACTGTTTTGTGGGTCTCAGAGTTGAGTTTCAGTCTATTCCTACCGCAGAGGGTTTACTCAACAGTGAAGAAGTGCTGAAAAGGCCTAGAATCAACTTAGTTTCTCTCTACAAACCCCATGATTAAGAGTTTGACCAGTAACATCCAATCACTGCTAATAGGAGCAGCCAGCCCAGCTGGAAGAAAACCACAAGCCAGTGATTCATTTTCCTGTATCTATGAAATTTGCATAGAAATTATAATTCACCACATTTAGGTCCAACTTTGGTCATTAAATATGAACAGTAAATGAAAAGAAACAAAAGAAATTTTAAAAATATGATGCTCTTGAGGAAGAATAATAGTAATGAATTTTACTTGATGGGCTAAAAACAGTTCAAGTTATATAGAAAAGATTATCTGCCTACATATGACTATTATTTTAAAATGG
The DNA here is from genome assembly GCF_000001405.40 of Homo sapiens. Classification (NCBI taxonomy): domain Eukaryota; kingdom Metazoa; phylum Chordata; class Mammalia; order Primates; family Hominidae; genus Homo; species Homo sapiens. The sequence goes on along the minus strand of NC_000009.12, from coordinate 105,509,864 downwards.
TAAAAACCTCTACAGAAACCACAATAACATCTCAGTTTGATAACATGTAATACAGAGTTAACTGCATTCCTTGGCTAAGTTACCTATAGTTCTCAAATAGAAACATCTGCTAATCCAAACAAATTACTTCAAGATAGACTTTATTTCAGACCTTTGTGATGCAAACATTTTTCTGAGTTTGTCTCATCAATAACTTATAGGCCTTATATTTTGTTTTATTATATGATTTTTTTTGTCATCCTCCAAATCCAATCAAATTTCTGGCAGGTAAACCTATTCAAATGCTATATGAACTAGAGGTCAGTGGAATGCCTTAAGTCCCAAGTGCCTACAAGAATGTGTAGAGTCTGGTTCTGGAATTAAACCCAGTCAATAACCATCTCACAACTAGGAAAGTCTCCAGCATTATAACCTTCAAATTGGTAAATATCTAAAAAATCCTCTGTATTCAAGTCTGCTACTCTAGGGAGTTTTCATTAAACCCCAATTGCTTTCAGAGACTAGAAGAACCTAGGTTCCAGGCTCATAGTAAGGGCTGGCACAAAACTCAGAAGTGGATTCTTATTCACACCTTTCCAAACTAGGTCTAGGGATCATGGGAAAGTCATTTAATATATGAAAACTCTATTTTTTCATCTGCAATATGGGTATCAATAATATCTAGCATATTGATCTCTCAAGATGACTTTAATTATCTAATAAAGAATTGAAAGTGTTTTGTAACCATTAATAAACTATATAAACGTTAACTGTTGCAATAAGATACAGGAAAACAGAGAGGACCTGAACTAAACAGATACTTCCCCAATATTGATTCATAATCCATTCTATGGGAAAACTCTGGGCAAATCTCAGTGATACTTACCTATTTATAACAAGATTGAAATTTATAAATTAAGCATCTCCCAGAGAATACAATACCATCATCTCAGTCTATTTTATCTGTATAAATAAAATCATATAAGAAAACCCAATGAAAACCACTACTGTAGTCCTATTTTCCCTTAAAATTCTTACTGTTGAGAAAGCTAGGCTAGGAGAAGTAGAGAAGTAATTCAACATCACATGAAGTGCTTCCTGTTACAAAGTTATGAATAACTTCAGATGTTAAGCTTTGTTTTATGCTGTATAAAGAGCTACTGATCTCACCTTTGGTCTCTAGAGTCACTGGATCAGAATACTCTCCAGCCACAGCCTTGTTACAAGCTCGCACTCTGAAATTCATATACTTTGAATCAAATTTTAAGCCTGAAGAAACGAAAACATGGTTTTCAGACATGTACAGTAAAGGATTCTATTCCCAAAAGTAAGAGTATGAGCCTTCAGGCATTAAGAACCGTGTCTCTGTATTCAGGAAGAGTATGAATTTGTTAAAAGAGTGGTATGTGGGCCAGGCGCAGTGGCTCACACCTGTAATCCCAGCACTTTGGAAGGCCCAGGTGGGCGGATCACAAGGTCAGGAGATACAGACCACCCTGACTAACACGGTGAAACCCGGTCTCTACTAAAAATACAAAAAATTAGCCAGGCGTGGTGGCGGGCGCCTGTAGTCCCAGCTACTCGGGAGGCTGAGGCAGGAGAATGGAGTGAACCGGGGAGGCGGAGCTTGCAGTTAGCTGAGATCGCGCCACTGCACACCAGTCTGGGCGACAGAGCAGGACTCTGTCTCAAAAAAAAAAAAAAAAAAAAAGAGTGATATGTGGTCGGGCGCAGTGGCTCACGCCTGTAATCCCAGCACTTTGGGAGGCCAACTCCCGAACCTGAGGTCAGGAGTTTGAGACCTGCCTGACCAACATGGAGAAACCCCGTCTCTACTAAAAATACAAAATTAGCCGGGCGTGGCTACTCAAGAGGCTGAGACAGGAGAATCACTTGGACCTGGGAGGCAGAGGTTGCCGTGAGCCGAGATCGTGCAATTGCACTCCAGCCTGGACAACAAGAGTGAAACTCTGTCTCAAAAAAAAAAAAAAAAAAAGAAGAGTGATATGCTCAAAATAAGAGGAATCATGATTTAATTATTATTTTATTCAAAAGAAACACATATAGTTTATCAACTGTTATTTTAACCCAGTGATTAAAAAGTACCCTTTCAGGCCTCATTAAAAGTAGTATTTCACTCAGAGAGAGATGGTACAATTTACAATAACATATTCAATTTAAAGTGAACACCCTAAATAATTTTTATATTTATGAAACGTTTTTTATGTGAAAATGAATTTAAAGAGGAAGTAAAGCAGAGATTACTAACAAACATTTTGAAGTACAGTCTGGATTACTAAATCTCAGTTTTGAAATTACTAGCTATGGGACCGTCAACAACTTGACCGAGCCTGTTTTCTAGCTGTAGAACAGAAATAATAAAGCCAACTTCATAATTGTTGTAAAGATAAATGAGATGTATTATGCTGATTAAATGAGATGTACTATATGTAATACACTTGAGCCCATCTCCTGATAAATGGTAACTGCTCAATAATGGTGCTCCTAATATTACTCCTCATGCGTAATAAGCATTGGACAACTCAGGCAATATTTTGCCATTTCAAATATCCAAAGTCCACTATATACTGAGACATTCTTATAAAGGCTTTCAAAAGGTCAACACAAATTTCTATTGTTATACCAAGTCACAGGTCTTTGTTAATTATTAACATGAAGGTAATCTTGAAACAGTAAAAGCTACAGTATTTACATTATCAGTGAAATGGGTAATGAGAACATCTAAAAAACCAACAGCTTTTTAAGAGTCAGAAAACCAAGGTAAAAATTAAATGTTATTCTGAAATACTATTTTCAGAATATCCCTTCATATATATTTTACATATATTCTGTTTCACTATGTTACAAATGTCCAAAAGTAATAAAGACAAAGGTTTCCAGCCTGGTCAACATAGTGAAACCCTGTCTCTACCAACAAATACAAAAATTAGCTAAGTGTGGTGGCGTGTGCCTATAGTCCCAGCTTGTCAGGAAGCTGAGGTGGGAGAATTACTTGAACCCAGGAGGCGGAGGTTGCAGTGGGCCAAGGTCCCGCCACTGCACTCCAGCCTGGGAGATAATAGAACAAGATCCTGTCTTAAAAAAAAAAAAAGGGTTTCCTTGATGTTTCAAGAGAAAATCACTTCCATACTGAGTATCTAAAAACTCAGTGTGACTAAAGAAACTTTAAAACTTTATTCTTTAAAGTAACTCAAAATATTTTTCAACAATACATTTATCTTCTGAGAATGAGAGTCCTAAAATGCAGTCATGTTACCTGATAGTGTATATTCAGTACCCTTAATATTATCAATTATCTCCCAGCATCGCTCATCCTTTACACGTGGAAGTCCATCAAAATTAGTCTTCCTATGTTCCAGTATAAAATGGTCAATCTTATTATCTTCTTCTGGCATTCTCCAAGCCACTGTTACAGAGTTATCTGCCACCAAACACTCTACTGGATCTATCTCTGGAGCTTTGGGGACTGCAAAGAAGAAAAAAAAAAAAGACTCATTCATTCCTCATTTATTACAACACTAATCAAATATTGATATCACATTTATATCATTCAAACTGCTTTTTCATTATGCTTTTAAACTGTTCAAAAGTAGATCAGATTAAGCAAAAGGAAAGCCCATAAATGTAAAATAACTATTTTCAAAGTACACACACTAAGGATAAGGAATCGAGAATAACTTGCTACTTCTGAACACATTATATTTTTAATTGATATTTCAAATAGCTGTAGAATATAAATTAAATCAATATTAACAAATAGAATAAATTGCTTTGAATATAATGACTGAAATAATTCAAGAGTGTATTTTCCCTCTTGAATGTATTTTAAAATCTTGTTTCCCAACCCTGCAAAATACTTAAGGATTTTTAAATGTTTCTCCCAAGAGTTCTACAGTTCATTAAAATAAACTGAAGTAAATGAGCCACATTTAAAATGTATGAACATTAATTTCTTTTCCATGAAAGACATATTTCATAGCTTTTTAACATTAACACATGATCCACTGACATAACAAATGTAGAACATGTTCCTCCAGTGATACGGACTTGTCTGAACTGGGTGAAACTATGCAGTCCAGCAGCTACCAGATTTAAACATTTTACTGCTAAAGAAAAGAATTCAAAAGATTTATTCCTGGTATGCAAGGCTAGTTAAACATTTGAAATCAATTAATGTATTCTATCACATCAATTGCAGAAAAATTATATAATGATATCAATGAAACAAGAAAAATACCAATTATAAAGTAAAAAATAAAACTCTTTGTGGATGACATTACTGCCTATGTAGAAAATTCAAAAAACAGGCCAGGCGCAGTGGCTCACACCTGTAATCCCAGCACTTTGGGAGGCCAAGGCAGGCAGATCACGAGGTCAGGAGTTCGAGACCAGCCTGACCAACATAGTGAAACCCCGTCTCTACTAAAAACACAAAAATTAGCCAGGTGTGGTGGCATGCGCCAGTAATCCCAGCTACTCATGAGGCTGAGGCAGAAGAATTGCTTGAACCCAGGAGGCAGAGATTGCAGTGAGCCGAGATCGTGCCACTACACTCCAGCCTGGGCAACAGAGCGAGACTCCGTCTCAAAAAGAACAAAACAACAACAACAAAAAAACAACAAAGAATAAAATTCCTGGAACTAACAAGTGATCACAGAAGGGTTGCAGGATATAAGAGATGAATAAGCGGAACAGAAAGGAACTTTAGGGCAGTGAAATTATTCTATATGGTAATATAATGGTAGATATAAGACACTATACATTTATCAGAACCCACAGAACTGTTTAACACAAAGAGTAAATGCTAATATAAAATATGAACTTTAGCTAATAATGTATCACTGTTGATTCATCAGTTATATCAAATGTACCCCACTAATGCAGAATAGTAATAACAGGGGAAATTGTATATGGAGGAGGTAGTGGGTTTATGGTAACTTTCTGTATTATCATGCTCAATTCTCCACAAATATAACCCTGTTCTAAAAAACAAAGCAAAGTTGGCCCTCTGTATCCACGGATTCAATCAGCCTTGGATCAAAAAATATTCGGAAAAAATAAAAATAACAATACAACAATAAAAAAGTTTAAAACTACAGTATAACAACTATTGACATAGTGGTTACATTGTATTAGGTATTATAAGTAATCTAGAGATGACTTAAAGTATATGGGAGGATGTGCATAGGTTACATGCAAATAACCATTTTTTAGGGACTTGAGCATCTGTGGATTTTGGTAATTCAACGAAGGTGCTAGAACCAGTCCCCCACAAATACTGAGAGATGACTCTTGCTAATTTTTTTCAAAACCACAACAACAAAAGAATTACATATTAAAGTTAAGATGCAAAGCAACATGAGAGCTAACAAATAATAAACCCAGTAAAATAACACCAAGATGGAAAAATTTGACTTAGAAAGGATGATCCATTTCCACTAACTAGAGTCTTCCCAAAGTTAAATTCTACATGTGTAATTGTACAATAAATACTTAGAATTGGATATAACTTATTAGTAAGACAACTGACAACCAAAAAAGCATTTATTATTTGTCATAACCATGAGTTTCCTTCATCTGTCTTGTAGGATTTCTGTCCTTATAATACATATTTGGTAGTGTCTACTACTGAAACATAAGAATTGTAGACTATTCACTGCCAAGAGAATAAAGAGACTATAGGCATTCATGAATTTAATATGCTCTGCTATGCCTACATGTAAGGAAATGTAAAGGCCTATGGCCTGTAGCAATGTGAAAATTTTGCTGAGTCATAAATCTGCAACTGAAAGTCCTGAGAGGTTGGTATAAAAAAAGTCACTTAATTGGTGAGTAGGACTAGTTAGCACCCTGCTATCTACATCTCAATTCAGCTGCCATTCTAGTAAGACTGCACTGGCAGGCAGATTCTTCTTTCTTGTGAATAATGGTCCCCAAAAGAAAGTCAAGTGACAAAATGGAAACTGAGGTTAAAAAGAAAAAAAATAAGAAAGTGGTGACACGTGGGAGGGACAAAGATATTTAGATAATTTAAGAGTGGTATGTCAAATTTAGGTTGACTTGGAGCTAACGTGGGAAGTTCACTCTAGATTCTATATAGAAGTAAGAAAACAATTCATCAAATACGGCATACAAATTCAGGGGAAGATGAAAGATAGTGTACTTATAACATATAAATATTACTTAGGCAAGGCAGAAGTCTTTGGAAGGAAAGCAATCCACACATCTACCTACATACTTCCATAAAGCAACAGTGATGAACTAGCAATAGTGTAGAAATTAGTTGAAGAATTTGCTAAATGTTTTCTCTGCACCTGAATGTAAAAGGTAAGTGGCATCAGCATTGCCAGACTTATTTTCTTAGCTCCAGAAAGGAGAAAGGATATAAAGTCAAAATTTCAATGCATAAGAAATGGCTAAGAGTAGATAATGACTTTGTAATTGTCATTGATCATCGTCACTTCCACTGTTAAGACTCAGGTATGTCCATAACTAATATTACTACATATAATGTACTATAGGATACATTATAGTGGCATTTATGGAATTAATAGATATTTCTTCATTTTATAAGTTAATTTGATTCCATCTTATAGAAAATTTTTATGCTACAGAATATTAAAAATTAGAGATTTAAATGCATCCTTCATGAATTTTTAAAACCTACTACATTTTTCTGCTGGGCATAGTGGCTCATGCCTGTAATCCTAGTACTTTAAGAAGCTGAGGCAGGAGGATCACTTGAGCCCAGGAGTTTGAGACCACCCTGGGCAACAAAGTGAGACCCCATCTCACTTTGACAAAAAAATCAGAAAAATTTAGTTGGGTATGGCGGTGCATGCCTGTGTGGTCCCAGCTACTCAGGAGGCTGAGGCAGGAGGGTTGCTTAAGCCCAGGAGGTTGAGGCTGCAGTGGTTGTGCCACTGTACTCCAGCCTGGGCAACACAGCAAGACCTTGTCTCAAAAAAAAAAAAAAAAAATCTTATTACAGTTTTCCTTCTGGACGAAACTCCTCCAGAAAAAGGTTTCTTTTTTTTTTTAATCATACCTCATTTTACCAAAAAGGGAAATCCTAACTGTTCATGCAATCTATTTGACTGTACAATAAGCATGGTCTTGGTCTGTTAAGCCATTGTTGAAAGCCCAAAAGAAGGGAAGAAGTAAGGTTGAGAAGACGGCGTTTTAAATCATTTTTTTTTATCAAAGTAGTAGTAATATCTATGTGTATGTGCACTCTCTGTCAGAATGCAGAAGTGATGGGAAACCTAGATAAAGAAAATGAAGATGTATACACTGGATTTTAGGGGAGAAAAGTTCTACTTACAACAGAAAACATTATGGGGGAAAAATGTTATCATTGGTATCAGTCATTCACATGAGAAAACTGAGAAGGGGATAGAAAACAGTTAAAGCCTCAACTGCTATAAATCAACACGTAAATTCTCCAAGTATGAGTAAAAAAGTGAACCTAAGATAAATACAAAGTAAAATATACAATTTCAAAGGCAACAATCAAAGTTTTCTTCCTAAGTTAAATAGAAAAGTAAAAACGAATAATGGTAGTAACAACAATAGCTATCATTTATTGAGTGCTTTCCATATTAATCCTTACCATTACAATACCATAAACTTTATATTATCATTATCTTTATTAGGGGCTCAAAGATGTCAAAGTAACTTGCTCAAGATTGCACAGCTAGACAATTAAAGAAGAAACAGGATTTAAACATAAGCAGTTTGACTTAGAGACAACAGCCTTTACTATTCTTAAAGAAAGGCACTCTAAGCTAAGGCCATATATGTTAGTATATAAAAATATATAAAATCGAAGAGCAGTAACATGCAGAAAGATATCTGAATAATGATAAAAAGAAAAAAATATACATGAAAGTTAAACTATCTGGCCAGGTGGAAATGAGTGATCTACAAAACTAACACAAAGGGATGAATGATAGGAACCTAACTGACCTGGAAAACTAAAGGAACCTAAAGGCAGAATCTCTGAAAAGTTCTGAATTTGCCTTATTGATAATTTAATAACCTGGAAAGTACAGTCTGTGTTTGGTAAACTAACTTTTTTGGACCTAAGTATGACCAATAAGAAGAACACAGATGTAAACGCGGAAATGATGGCTGGGTGCAGTGGTTCACACCTATAATCCCAGCACTTTGGGAGACTATGGCTAGAGGATGGCTTGAGGCCAGGAGTTTGAGACCAGCCTGAGCAACACAGTGAGATCTCTATCTCTGCAAAAAAAAAAAAAAAAATTAAAAATTAGCTGGGTGTGGTGGCATGCACCTGTAGTCCTAGCAACTCAGGAGGCTGATGCAGAAAGACCGCTTGAGCCAGGAGTTAGAGGCTACAGTGAACTATGATGATGCCACTGCACTCCAGCCTGGGTGATAGAGAAATACCCTGTCTCAAACAATAAAAAACTGTAAACGATGGGAACTTTAGAAATAAGCAACAGTGTCACCTTAAAGAATTCATGAAAGCCAGAGCAAGAGGACACAATCTGAAAAAAACTTCAAAAATTTCAAATAGAAAAGAAGAGGACTCATATACTATCATAGACTGCTATAACTATCATATAACTACCATACTCTGGAGGGATCCTATGATAGCAAAAAAAAAAATCCCGCATAAAACAATTTTATTGTGTTATATTGCTGAGCTTTTATAAATAAGGCAGTGCTTCTCACCTTGAATGTGTGCAAAAATAAGCCTAAGTTACTTCAAGTCCAACACTAAGACTCTTGAATCAGAATCTGCAGTTGATTTGCATGCACTTTAAAGTTTGAGAAGCACTGGTCAATATCTTCTGATGAATGGATTCCCTTTACAACACTGGCTTCAAGTTATTGTCAAGCTTCTTACCGAATTATTTTAGTGATGGGAAGAGTTACTATTTCCTAAAATTGATCTTGTCATAGTTAGTCAGTTGTGGCTATTAGAAAAGCCTTTCTGATATTATTAAGCTGAGTTTTCTCCATAAAACTACTCCATTTGGAAATGAAAGGGAAATAAACTATCTCAAATGCTTGAGATTATAATCCCTTGGCAAAATTTTTATTTAAATTTTAATTGAAATTGTACTTACTTAAGGAATACAGCAGAATGTCTGAGAGTCCAGCTCCAAGGAGACCCAGTCATAGGAGTGTCCCCACACATTTGTGAGTTTTACCTCCAGGAGCTTACCAGGTTCTCACCATGAATAACTAACAGAGAAAAATCCCCTTATGCTTCCACAGCAGGGGGAGGAGAAAAGGAAGTATTTTGAAATACATCAGAGTTTCTGTTCCCTTAAGAGAAACTATTTAATCATAGTCTAATCTGTTGGGGTTTTAACAGAGACTAAGTGACCTGGGGAAAGGGAAATATCCAACTCCAATGAGCTACTCCATGTGGGCAAAGGGAAATACCCAGACCAACCCCAGCCCACTCCAGCCATCCTGTTCCACCGAAAAATCCAGGAATAAGGAGTGGGGAAAACTGAGAAGTCCCTTGCAAAGTTCACGGTCCAGAGGCACAGGCTCACCAAAAGACTGAGACCTAATTATGGTGCTACAGAATGCTGCCCCTCCCACACACCTTACTACCACATTAATAAAGGCCAGTTTACATCAGTTTCTTTAACCCAATACATGTCTGGTCATCAAGAAAAAATTACAAGACTCAGATATGGCAGAAATGCTGGAATTATCAGACCAATAATTAAAAACAGCTATAATATTCTGAGGGCTCTCATGGAGAAAGCAGAGAGCATAAAATGGAGAAAGTAGACAGCATAAAAGAACAGATGGGCAATACAAGTGGAGCGCTAGAAATTCTAAGAAAAAACCGCAAAGAAAGGCTAAAGATAAAAAGCACTGTACCATAAATTAAGAATAATTTAATGGACTTAATAGCTGACTGGAAAGAATCTTTTGAGTTTGAAGATCTCTCAATAGAAACCTGCAAGATGAAACAGCAAAGACAAAAAAGATTGGAAGAAACCCCACAGAACAGAATATCCAAAATTTACTGTGGAAGTACGAAAGGAGTAAATATGTATAATGGAAATTACAGAAGAAGAAGACAGAAAGGAACAGAAGATATATTTGAAACAATAATGACTGAGAAAATCCCAAACTAATATCAGACACCAAACTACAGATCTAGGATGCTCAGGGAACATCAACCAAAATAAATGCTCCCTGCCATACACACATAAACAAAAACTGTATCTAGGCATATATTCAGACCACAGAAAATCAAAGACAAGGAAAACACTTGAAAGAAGCCAGGTGGGGGCGGAGGAGGGGACCTTACCTATAGAGGAGCAATTCTGTATACCTTGAAATTATCCTTCAGTAGTGAAGGAGAAATAAAAACTCTCTCAGACAAATAAAAATTGAGGAAATCTGTTGCCAATAGACATGCTATGAAGAAATGTTTTTAAAAAGTTCTTTAAAGACAAAGAAACAAAGAGCAATGGAGAAGGATAAGTGAAGGTAAAATAAAAACTTATTTTTCTTATTCTTGACTGATCTAACCAGTAACAGTTAATTCAAAACAATAAGGGCAACTATTTATTTGAATGTGTGTGGTGTATCTGTGCTTACACATACTGCTGCATAAGTGAAATAAATGACAACAATGATACAAGTGATGGGAGAGAGGCAGAAAATCACTAAGTACATGGTTGAACTCAACAACTCCATCAATCAACTGCATGTAATTGATATCTACAGACTACTTCAACCAACAATGGCAGAATATACATCCTTCTCAAGCTCCTATAGAACATTTGCCAAGACAAAGACTACATTCTGGGCTGTAAAACACACATTAACAAATTCAAAAGCATAGAAATCATGCAATGATTAAATTAGAAATCACTTAACAGAAAAAGATATATAGCTGCAAAGTCCCAAAATACTTTGAGATTAAACAACCCACTTCTAGCATGGGCGCGGTGGCTCATGCCTGTAATCTTTGCACTTTGGGAGGGGGGCGGATCACTTGAGATGAGGAGTTCAAGACCAGCTTGGCCAACATGGCGAAACCCCATCTCTACTAAAAATATAAAAACCACACTTCTAAACAACACATAGTCAAAGAATAAATCTCAAGAGAAATTTTAAAATATTTTGAACTAAATGAAAATGAAAACACAACTTATCAAAATTTGTTGAATGCAACGAAAATAGTGCTTAGAGGGAAATTATAACACTGAATGCACATATGGTCATGAGCCATAAGCCATATAACAACATTTTGGTCAATGACAGACCACATATACAAAAGTGGTCCCATAAAATTACAATACCATATTTTGACTGTATTTTTTTCTAAGTTTAGATATGTTTAGATACACAAATTATTATCATTGTGTTACAACTGCTTACAGTATTCAGTACAGTAACATGCTGTACAGGTTTGTAGCCTAGGAACAATCTGCTATATAATATAGCCTAGATGTGTAGGAGACTATACCATCTTGGTTTGTGTAAATACACTCTATGATGTTTGCACAATGACAAAATTGCCAAACATCACATTTCTTAGAATGTATCCCCACCACTGACAAATGATTATATTAGAAAAGAAGATCTAAAACAAGTAATTTAAGCTTTCGCCTTGGTAAACTAAAAACAATAATAATAATAATAATAATAATAATAATAATAAAGCCAAAGCAAGCAGAAAAGAAATAATGAAAATTAGAACAAAAATCAGGTTGGGTGTGGTAGTCACACCTGTAGTCCCAGTGCTTTAGAAGGCTGAGGTGGGAAGATCACTTGAGGCCAGGGGTTTGAGACCAGTCTAGGCAACACAGTAAGACCCCATCTCTACAAAAAAAGATTTAAATTAGCTGGGCATGGTAGCACATGCCTGTAGTCCTAACTACTGAGAAGGCTGTGGCAGGAAGATCCCTTGAGCCCAGGAGTTCAAGGCTGCAGTGAGCTATGATTATATAACTACATTCCAGACTGGGCAACTGAGCAAGACTCTATCTCTAAAAACAAACAAACAAAAAACAAGAACAGAAATCAATGAAACTGAAAAGAGGGAAATCAATGGAAAAAAATCCTGAAAGCAAAACCTGGTTCTTTGACAGATCAATGGAATCAATAAATAACTAGTATCAAATAACTAGTATCAAAAATGAAAGAGGGGGCATCAACAAAGATCCCATGGACATTAAAAAGCTAATCAAGGAATTCTGTGAATAACTCTATGTCCACAAATTTGATAACCCAAAAGGACCAATTCTATGACAGACACAATCTGCCAAAACCCACAAGGAAAACAGACAATCTGAATAGGCCTCTATCTATTTTAAAAATTGAATCGATACTAATAACTTTCCAAAACAGAAAGCACCAGGCACAAAAGTGTTCACTGGTGAATTCTACCATACTTTTCAGGACAAAAGTACACTAACTCTCTACAATCTCTTGCAGAAGAGAAAAATAGAGAGAATACTTCCTAACTCTTTCTATGAGGCCAGCATTACCCTAATACCAAAACTGACAAAGATATTACTCCAAAAGAAAACTACAAACCAGTATGTCTCATAAATTAGATGTGAAAAATCCTCAACAAAATATAGCAAATCAAATCCAACAATTAACAAAAAGAATTATACCCTTGACCAACTGGTATTTATTCCAAGTATGCAGGCTGGTTCGACATTTGAAAAATCAATGTAACCCATCACATCAACAGGCTTAAAAAGAAAAATCTCACAATCATAAAAATAGATGCCAAAAAATGCATTTCACAAATTCCAACACTCATTCAAAATAAAAACTCTCAGTGAAATAGGAACAGAAAGGAACTTCCTCAACTCAACTTGTTAAGAAATAGCTACAAAAAAAATTACAGCTAACACCATACTTAATGGAGAGAAACTCAAAATGTTTCCACTAAGTTCAGGAACAAGGCAAGGATCCCCCTCTTTCTACTGCTTCCAACATAGTACTGGAAGTCCTAGGTAATGCAGTACGACAATACAAGGTATTCAGGTTGGGAAGAAAGAAATAAAACTGTCTTTGTTAACAAACAACATGATCATCTAGGTAGAAAATCCAAAAGAATCAACAAAAAACTCCTGAAACTAGTAAGTGATTGCAGCAAGGCTGCAGGATACAAGGCCTACCACTTTCCTGTATACCAGAAATGAACAAGTGAAATTTGAAATTAAAACACAATACCATTTACATCAGCACCCCCAAAATGAAATCTTTTGATACAAATCTAACAAAATATGTTCCATGTTTATATGAGGAAAACTACAAAACTCTAATGAAAGAAATCAAAGAACTAAATCAATGTAGAGACATTCCAATGTTTATGGATAGAAATACTCAATGTTCTTAAGATGTCAGTTCTTCCCAATTTGACCTACAGATTGATTGCAATCCCAATCATAATCCCAGTAAGCTATTTTGTGGATATCAATAAGATGACTCTAAAGTTTATATGGAAAGGCAAAGGATCCAGATAAAGGCAACACAGTATTGAAAAAGAAGATCAAAGTTGGAAGACTGAAACTAGTCAACTCTCAGACATAGTACGGGAGGCGGAGCTTGCAGTGAGCAGAGAGATTGTGCCACTGCACTCCAGCCTGGGCGACACAGCGAGATTCCGACACAAAAAAAAAAAAAAAAAAAGCTACAGTCATCAAGACCTGGTACTGGTGAAAGAAGAGACAAATAGATCAAAGGAACCAAAGGCAAGCTTCATGAAAGAAACAGTAAGATAGGCTAAACATTATTAGAATTAAAAATCTTGCTCTGTAAAAGACATCGTCAAGGGGAAAAAAAGCCAGACAGGGAGACAATATTTGCAAAAGAAACATCTGATAAGGACTACACAGAATTCCTTTTCTTTTTTTTTTTTTTTTAGATGGAGTCTCACTCTGCTGCCAGGCTGCAGTGCAGTGGTGCAATCTCGGCTCACTGCAAGCTCCGCCTCCCGGGTTCATGCCATTCTGCCTCAGCCTCCCGAGGAGCTGGGACTACATGCGCCCATCACTACGCCCAGCTAATTTTTGTATTTTTAGTACAGAGGAGGTTTCACCATGTTAGCCAGGATGGTCTCGATCTCCTGACCTTGTGATCTGCCCGCCTCGGGCTCCCAAAATGCTGGGGTTACAGGCGTGAGCCACCGCGCCCGGCCCAAAGAACTCTTAATATTCAACAATAAGAAAAGAAACAACCCGAGCTGGAGCCAAGATGGCCGAATAGGAACAGCTCCGGTCTACAGCTCCCAGCGTGAGCTACGCAGAAGACAGGTGATTTCTGCATTTCCATCTGAGGTACCGGGTTCATCTCACTAGGGAGTGCCAGACAGTGGGCGCAGGACAGTGGGTGCAGCGCACCCTGCACGAGCCGAAGCAGGGCGAGGCATTGCCTCACTCGGGAAGAGCAAGGGGTCAGGGAGTTCCCTATCCTAGTCAAAGAAAGGGGTGACAGACGGCACCTGGAAAATCAGGTCATTCCCACCCCAATACTGCACTTTTCCGACGGGCTTTAAAAACAGCGCACCAGGAGATTATATCCCGCACCTGGCTCCGAGGGTCCTACACCCACGGAGTCTCGCTGATTGCTAGCACAGCAGTCTGAGATCAAACTGCAAGGTGGCAGCGAGGCTAGGGGAGGGGCACCCGCCATTGCCCAGGCTTGCTTAGGTCAACAAAGCAGCCGGGAAGCTCAAACTGGGTGGAGCCCACCACAGCTCAAGGAGGCCTGCCTGCCTCTGTAGGCTCCACCTCTGGGGGCAGGGCACAGACGAACAAAAAGACAGCAGTAACCTCTGCAGACTTCAATGTCCCTGACAGCTTTGAAGAGAGCAGTGGCTCTCCCAGCATGCAGCTGGAGATCTGAGAACAGGCAGACAGCCTCCTCAAGTGGGTCCGTGACCCCTGACCCCCGAGCAGCCTAACTGGGAGGCACCCCCTCCATAGGGGCAGACTGACACCTCACACGGCCGGGTACTCCTCTGAGACAAAACTTCCAGGGGAACGATAAGACAGCAGCATTTGCGGTTCACGAAAATCCACTGTTCTGCAGCCACCGCTGCTGGTACCCAGGCAAACAGGGTCTGGAGTGCACCTCTAGCAAACTTCAAAAGACCTGCAGCTGAGGTCCTGTCTGTTAGAAGGAAAACTAACAAGCAGAAAGGACATCCACGCCAAAAACCCATCTGTACATCACCATCATCAAAGACCAAAAGTAGATAAAACCACAAAGATGGGGAAAAAACAGAACAGAAAAACTGGAAACTCTAAAAACCAGAGCGCCTCTCCTCCTCCAAAGGAACGCAGCTCCTCACCAGAAATGGAGCAAAGCTGAATGGAGAATGACTTTGACGAGTTGAGAGAAGAAGGCCTCAGACGATCAAACTACTCCAAGCTACAGGAGGAAATTCAAACCAAAGGCAAAGAAGTTGAAAACTTTGAAAAAAATTTAGACGAATGTATAACTAGAATAACCAATACAGAGAAGTGCTTAAAGGAGCTGATGGAGCTGAAAGCCAAGGCTCGAGAACTACGTGAAGAATGCAGAAGCCTCAGGAGCCGATGCAATCAACTGGAAGAAAGGGTATCAGCAATGGAAGATGAAATGAATGAAATGAAGCGAGAAGGGAAGTTTAGAGAAAAAAGAATAAAAAGAAATGAACAAAGCCTCCAAGAAATATGGGACTATGTGAAAAGACCAAATCTATGTCTGATTGGTGTACCTGAAAGTGACGGGGAGAATGGAACCAAGTTGGAAAACACTCTGCAGGATATTATCCAGGAGAACTTCCTCAATCTAGCAAGGCAGGCCAACATTCAGATTAAGGAAATACAGAGAATGACACAAAGATACTCCTCAAGAAGAGCAACTCCAAGACACATAATTGTCAGATTCACCAAGGTTGAAATGAAGGAAAAAATGTTAAGGGCAGCCAGAGAGAAAGGTCGGGTTATCCACAAAGGGAAGCCCATCAGACTAACAGCGGATCTCTCGGCAGAAACTCTACAAACCAGAAGAGAGTGGGGGCCAATATTCAACATTCTTAAAGAAAAGAATTTTCAACCCAGAATTTCATATCCAGCCAAACTAAGCTTCATAAGTGAAGGAGAAATAAAATACTTTACAGACAAGCAAATGCTGAGAGATTTTGTCACCACCAGGCCTGCCCTAAAAGAGCTCCTGAAGGAAGCAGTAAACATGGAAAGGAAAAACCAGTACCAGCCACTGCAAAATCAGGCCAAATTGTAAAGACCATCGAGGCTAGGAAGAAACTGCATCAACTAACGAGCAAAATCACCAGCTAACATCATAATGACAGGATCAAATTCACACATAACAATATTAACCTTAAATGTAAATGGACTAAATGCTCCAATTAAAAGACACAGACTGGCAAATTGGATAAAGAGTCAAGACCCATCAGTGTGCTGTATTCAGGAAACCCATCTCACGTGCAGAGACACACATAGGCTCAAAATAAAAGGATGGAGGAAGATGTACCAAGCAAATGGAAAACTAAAAAAGGCAGGGGTTGCAATCCTAGTTTCTGATAAAACAGACTTTAAACCAACAA